>NC_000010.11:48627943-48779458 GCF_000001405.40 Homo sapiens | reverse complement strand
TATGAAACAGTGACACTCTCAGGACACAGGAGAAGAACAAGTGGACAGAATCCACTGGACTTGACCATCTCAGGCAAATGAGCCTGGAGAACAACGCTGGGCTCCAAAGGGCAGAGCCAGGGCTGGCCTCTAGCACTGCCAAAGGAGGGGTGGCCCTGGGCGCCATGCCAAGCATGGGCCAGCCTTCTGGGTTTGGGGTTGAGCATATGTGGGAGCGCCTATATGTCTGTAGCTGCTTCGGCTCCAGCTAAATTGTGTGTGTTCTTCACAAACCTCACTCAGGAGAGGATGCAGCCTGTGTCCCAGCAAGGCAAAGCCCTGGGTCCCATTGTGACTGTTCTGCCAGGGCGAAGTTTCTGAAAAGCCACTGAGCATCATCTCTGAAGCTGTGCCAAGGGCTGGGGCCTCATCTGCCTGACACTTACAAGCCTAGAGCCCAGGCCACAGTGAACCACAACAAATATTGTAGACCTTTCACCAGGTATGGAACCCAAGGGAGCAATTTCAAAGGATGAGGAGAAACAGAAGGTCACCAGGTTTCTAACCACACCTGTGTTGAGAGCTTCTGACTTAGCCCCATTTCCCCCACATGTGGATGAAACTGGCTTTGGATCCCAGCACCTTACCCAGAGGCTGAAACTCCTTCTCTTCTGTAGAAACAACCAAGGAGAGGTCGTCTGGGCAGAGGCTGACGGAGAAGCAAACAAAGGGTTGCTCAGTCCTGGCCAGGTGGCGCACCAACGTCAGGAAGCGCAGCGGGTGGCCCTCAGTGGCAGCTCCATGCCGGCTGATCAGGAACCAGCAGGAGAAGGTCAGACCTCCAGGAGGAGGGAACGGTCTGGTGGCACCTGGGTGGGAACACAGGCATGCCCTCAGGCTTTGTTCTGCCCTGCTGAGCATGCATGTTCAGATTCACTATGGTGCTGATTTAGCCCAGGTGCAGCACCTACTGGGTGTCTTGCCTAATCACCAGTTGTCTCCTCCCCATTATGGCATGCTGCCTTGCCAAGGGAGCAGAGAAGATCTCGATCTCCCTGAGGTCCGTCACACGTGGGCTCCTGGTCAGCTGATCTATAGCCAGGCAGTGTGCTCTGTGGGGCAGAGGACCTTGGCCTAGCTCAGCTGAACCTTGGATAGGAAAGGGCACCAATCTAGGAATGCCATGTGCCCTCCCATCACATAACAGGGTTGGCGATATAGACAGGTCCATTGTCCTCACAGAACAGGCAGGATCAGCTGCTGTGTCCTCAGACTTGGTGCCAACTCACATGGAAAAACGTCATGAAGGCAATGGCTCCCCAGCACCCATGATCCCATAGAAACCCCAAACCCAATTCTCCTAACAGAGCGTGTGGCTCAGGCAGCATCAGGCACTTGCACTGTCCCACCCAGCGTGTTTTCAGCTAAGTGCAGTGCTGTGCATAGAAGCCACTTGCCAAAGATTGGTCTATTCTCAACGGCCATCAGCCCAACTCATATTTCTCTCTAGAGAGAGATCTAAGGCAGGTAATGTGTCCATCTCAGCCTACATCAGTCACCAGCGAAATGAGCCAATTTTTCAATGTCAATTGAGTCCCTAGCTATAGGCTGGACCCTTGGGATGCACAATGAACAGAACATCTTGCTCTAAAAGAGGAGCAAAGTTGAAGAACAACTCATCTGCAGATACTCAGGACCAAGGCAAGACTCATGTTTGCTTTTCTTTTTTTGAAACTGGGTCTTACACTGTAGCCCAGGTTGGAGTGCAGTGGTTCAATCATAGTTCACTGCAGCCTGGAACTCCTGGCCTCAAACAATCCTCCTGTCTTGGCCTCCCAAATTGCAGTATTACAGGTGTGAGCCACCATGCCCAGCACAGCTCACACTTTATTGAAACACCAAGTAAAAATCTGCAATCAAGGCTATCTGAAGACTCATACTTTGGAAGGGATGGAGAGCTAAACCATCTGGGAAAAACACCTACCTGTCCCAATTCCTCCAGAGACAGAGTACTCAGTGCTGGTTCCCATAACTGTGGACAGGGTTGGAATAAACAAACAGCTGGAAATAGAAAATTGTCTCAGATCATTGGACTGCAAGCCAATCTCTTGCACTGACACAGCTAGTCTGGGCCATGACATCTTCCCACTCTACCCTCCTGCCGGCACTGTAACCCTCCTTAGACCATAAGGTCCCAAGGATGGACTGCAGCTGGTGCTGGTAGGATGCCTAAGGGAAGGAATTGCACTGCAGGCAGGATGGGAGGGTGTTCCAGAATGCAGCCACACCAGGGAAAAGAGGGTCTTGGCCCTCCATAGCTGGGGACACAGCCCCTGGGAGGCCGCTGAGTAGGCGGGTGTCCATGACCCAGACATTTTCCTCTGCTGAGTGGTGAGATTCAATGGGAACTACAAGTTTGCAATCAATATTATAATTCATCAGAGGCACTGCAAAATTAATAAAGTGCATTTTAAATATGTGAAAGCCTGTCATACCCATAACCTTCCACGGACATGTCAAATTCCACAAACGATGGGGCCAGGGCTGCCCTCTGAGGCTGCAGGTTGCGTGGGGAGGTCATGGAGATGAGGCTCAGCGCCGTCTGAAGAGCAGTAGTTGAATCCTGGGATTCCCCCAAGGGCTGCGGGGCCTGTGTGACTCCAGGGTGCAGCCCAGCATCTGGGGCAGCTGGCCAGGGCCCCTCAGCCAAGCCCTGTGCAGTCTGTGACCCTAGGGCAGCAAGCAAGAGAAGAGATGTGTCTCTGCTCAAAGCATTTCTGTCTCGCTTCTGACAATAACCCCAAAGTATCTGCCGCAGCCCAGAAAGAGAGTTTCGCACAGTCACCAGGTACTTCCTAAGCACCAGCGAGGGTGGCTCCCTGGCCCCCAGCCCGGGCCCCCTGCTGAGTCTGATAACAAGGAATGGTGTTGCTAACCTGCTCCTTCTAGAAACTTTTCTTTCATTCCAGCACAGATCCCTTTTCCAGCATAGCACATTCTACTGCTGCCACCTCTGTCTCTGGCTTGCCCCATTGGAGTTACTCACTGGAGCTTTGTGTCTGCTCACAAAGCCCACACTTTCCTTCACAGCAGCCTCTCCTTGTAAGCTCTGGGCTCCCACCGCAGCTGTCAGCCCCAAGCCTGATCCCGCACCCTTGCTTCTCCACTGGGCCTGCCTGTTTCCTTGAGGTCTTATGTGATCTTACATTCAAGATGTCCACGAGTTTCTTTTCTCTAAGCTGGTTCCCTGGCCAACATTCCCCAGGTACTAGGCCTGACACAGGGGTACCACCTGCATCTTGGGCCTCCAAGGCTCTGACATGCCCTTGAGCTGTGAGCTGTACAGAAGCCTTCCCTGCACACCTCTGTCTAGTGCAGCGCCACGTACTGCTGTGTCATGAAGGAAACTCTGTCTCTGCTTCCATGATCTGGAACCCAAAGGGATCATCTGTCTTATATGTCTGGGTGGGGGTTCATCTTTCTCCATCTGGATATGGTCTTTCTCCAGAGACCAGGAATTTCTTTGCTTTTTCCTCAGTTGCTGCATTGAGCAGCAGACAAAACCATGTTTAAACCTGTTTGCTTTCCCACCTGTTGTAAAGGATCCCTCAGCAGGAATGCCTATCATCTTTTACTTCCCATTAACCTGCCCCGTTCTTGCCACTGTCCTCACCTGAGCACCCAGGGTTGCCTCTGTGTGTGTGAGATGAATCAAGGATTTTTGTTGTGGCCGACAGAGATGAGGGAATTCCAAGACCTAGAAACTGTCTGAACATAACATACAAGAGGAAAAAATGAAGACATTTTACTAGCAACAGTGTTCTCCAACTTTATCCTGACAACTGTCCTAGATGCCTGGAGCTCCCTGACCTCCCAGCCCCACTGGAACACCCTTTCTGAAAGCAATGTGGAGACAGGGTGTCTCTGCCCTGCCAGCCAGACCAGACCAGAGAGCTGGTAAGTTTAGGAGCCTCAAGATGGATGTCATAACAAAAAATAATGTCACAAAGTAAATTTGTAGTAATTGTTTATAAGTTTCTAATGGAATTTCCCATGCAGCACTATAACCAGCAGCCTCCTCTGGCAGCTGTCGTGCCCGCCCCTGGGTCCCATGTCTGCTGGCTGGAAAGGCTGTCTGTGCGCCCTCTACACTTGCTCCTGTGTATAAGCAGCAGGGCCCCCCGCTCTGTGCATGGCCCTCAGCACTCCAGGTGGCATAGGAGACTCCTGCCCTCCCCAGTAGCTTCCCTTCCCTCTGCTCTCTTGTCTTCCACGTCTGCTCCCTGCTTCCCACCCTGTGCACCTTTGCACTTTCTCTCCCTGCCATGGCTCTCCAGGAATGTGGCTTCATGTAGAGGCTGACAGCAGGAAAGCCCCCTGGAGGATCCAGGTGGGTTCTGCCCCATCCTCCTCCATGTCTGCAGTCCCTACATGCTTACTGCCCAACTCCCTACAGGACACAGTCAGCCCCTCCCAGCCCCACCCCTCCCGGCAGAGCCTTCCAGGCCCAGTTCCCTCCTCTCTTTGTCTAGTGAACTCTACAGGCCTCGGAATGCAGCTCCACTTCCTTGGAGCCCCCTCCAGCCCCCACGTGATCCATTAGAGGGGGCTATGTCTGCTTTGTGGGCACCTGCACACTGCCTGGCACAGACCCAAGGCTCAGCCATGGACTCCAGCCTTGAATGCCAGGACAGAGCCGTGCCCTCCATCTGTCCCTGCAGTCTCTCCACTGCCCATTGTGCAACCCCTGCCCTGCAAAGGACATGGCTGCCCAGCTTGGCGGCACTGAATATGCAGCATGTGGTACCTTAGCACATCCGGTTCAATGGCCTGGGAAGCGAGCTTCTCAAAGATCCTGATGAGGCGTGAGTGGAGGGGGCTGCCACTGGTGACCAGGGCCCTGTGGCAGGAGGCCATGAGGGTCCCAAGCAAGCCTGCTTCGCACATGACCTGGCGGTTCTTCTCCGACTTCACCAGGGACTGGATATGACTGGCCAGGGAGCACTGGATCTCCTCGGAAAGCTAAGAGTGACCAAAGCAAGCTGTGAGCCCTCCAGGGCAGAACACCTTGTGGACAGCTTTTATAGGCTCCAACTTGGCCTGGGGTGAGTTGTGGAACAAGGAGACTGCGCCCACCATACCCCATCCCCACTACACCCACGCCTGTCTCAGGGTTCTTCCAGTGCCCTCCTCACCTGGCGGGGGGCAAGTCTGTGGGAGGCAGCCTCTGGCAGGACACAAGCTGCCCAGGTCAGTGTGGGGAGAGGTCAATGGCTAAAGATGGAGGCCACATGCCAGCAGGCAGGAGGCTGCGTCTGCCTCTTAGACGTGCTGTGTTTGACCCACACAATATTTCAGCAGTTTCTGAATTAACTGCTAGCATTGAAAAGTCTGAAGATGTCACATAAAAATCCAGACTTGTGGCCTCTCTCAAAAGATGGGACGATCTGGCCATGCTGGCTTGCACCTCTGTGGGGGGAAGGTGGCTGGTGCTGGGTGGGAGCTGTGCCCTCCAGGGGTCCAACATCCCCCCCAGCTTGGCTTTACTCCCCTAACAGTTCCTGTGTTGGAGTTCGCACCCCCGGAGTAAAAGGTGGAATCTGCCTGGGAGTACAAGACTAAAAGAAGTACCACTTACCAAACATACACACTCTGCCTTGACAGATACAGGCCCCACCACAGACATCTCAAACCACACTCAAAGTCTGCAGGCCAACTAAAGTCTCTGGGGAGAAGCGTTTGCTGAAGCCACTCTCATCCCCTGGGTGCCATCTCCCTCCGCCCACCCTCCCATCATCCTGTGCCTGTCCCTCAGTCCTAAGCACATGCTGCCACATGAATAGCTGTGCTCTTATCTTAACCCTGAACTAGGTTTCCAGCTACTTCCCTCTGCTTATGTCCTTTGAAGCACATAGAAAAGAGTGCATAGACTGGGCTCAGTAAATATTTGAGCCTAATACCACACATTGCTTTTACAATCATTCTTTCATTGTAAAAGATAAATCTTTGGAATTATCCTTCCCAGGCTGGATAAAGGGTTTGGATTGGGTGGGATGTTCCTTTACAAAAACTCTTAGGACTGTCCACATTCTCTTTTGTTGCTGGATAAGATGTCGTATCAAGTGAGAGGGATACAGGTTAGATCTTAATGGAATTTTCCTTGTCCCAGTGGATGCTACTGTGCTCCATGCAGATCTCCTTCTCCAGATGAGAGGTATACCTGCCACGGCTTCCCCTTCTCTGCAGAACTGCCCTCCACAATGGTTGAACTAGTTTACAGTCCCACCAACAGTGTAAAAGTGTTCCTATTTCTCCACATCCTCTCCAGCACCTGTTGTTTCCTGACTTTTTAATGATTGCCATTCTAACTGGTGTGAGATGGTATCTCATTGTGGTTTTGATTTGCATTTCTCTGATGGCCAGTGATGATGAGCATTTTTTTCTCATGCTGCTATAAAGACACATGCACACGTATGTTTATTGCGGCATTATTCACAATAGCAAAGACTTGGAACCAACCCAAAAGTCCAACAATGATAGACTGGATTAAGAAAATGTGGCACATATACACCATGGAATACTATGCAGCCATAAAAAATGATGAGTTCATGTCCTTTGTAGGGACATGGATGAAATTGGAAATCACCATTCTCAGTAAACTATCGCAAGAACAAAAAACCAAACACCGCATATTCTCACTCATAGGTGGGAATTGAACAATGAGATCACATGGACACAGGAAGGGGAATAGCACACTCTGGGGACTGTGGTGGGGTGGGGGTAAGGGGGAGGGATAGCATTGGGAGATATACCTAATGCTAGATGACGAGTTAGTGGGTGCAGCGCACCAGCATGGCACATGTATACATATGTAACTAACCTGCACAATGTGCACATGTACCCTAAAACTTAAAGTATAATAAAAAAAAAAAAAAAGAAAATGCAAAAAAAAAAAAAAAAAAGAACTGCCCTCCACTAGGTAAGAGCTGCCCTGCCCAGGGGCCATGGAGCCCTACCCACCCAAATACACATACACACACACTTACATGCCCCCTACTTACATACACACGCACACGCGTCCATACACACAGGTACACGCACATGTGTCCACACACACATCCACACACACCATACATGCCTGTGTGCACACACACACATACTCCAGGCTGGAGCCAATGAGGCCAGTGCCCTCGGGACTGTGTTGTGCAATTCATGCCTCAGAATCCCAGGGGCTCCGGCTGAGACAAGACTTTGCTGTGAGCGCATCCTCCTTCAGCTCTTTCCCTGCCCGGCTTCCCTCACTCTCCTTCCCTCCCGAGTCCTTCCCTCAACAAATCCCACATACCTGGACCCCTGTCTCAGGCTCCACTCCCAGGGAACCCGACCTGAGGCACCAGCATTCTTTCCATGTTTTATACCTTTGCCGCAGTTTGTAGTTTCAAGAAAGGAGATCAATGGCCATGTAAATGAGTTCTAGACCACCAAAGTGAAGCCAGGAGAAGCTGTGAATGCACTACCTGAATAATCTCTTTCTAAGGAGGACTAGGGTCTGGTCTCTTCACATCACAGACCACCTGTTACACCACCCAGTAAGAGCTTTCTTGGAGTCCTCCCTGCTTCCTCTCTTCCTATTCTTTCTCAAACAAGAATGAAGTGGCTCTCAACATCAACTTCTGGGTAAAGCTCTAGGCGTTTAAAGATGAATAAGACACTGTCCCTGCTTTCAAGGGATTCACAGATTAAAGGTGATACACGTGGGCAGACACATTGTCCCAGCACAGTTTGAAACGTGCTCCAGCAGAGAATTTACAACATCGAGCACAGCAGATGGGGTGGTCCCTGCAGCCTCTCACACATTTCACAAGGCTCTTGAAGTTAGAAGGGACTCAAGGCCTGGCATCTACTGTGAGGGCCAAATTTTATCCTGGGATGAGAATATTTCCTGGGTATTTAGGCTGCAGCAGGCCCTTTTCTAAGCATTTTGACATGTATGGATTATGCAATCACTGTGAGAAGCCTGTGAGGGAGGCACAATTATCATACCCGTTTTACAGATGGGGAAGCTAAGCCCAGAGATGGAAATTGCCAAGAGCACATGACTCTTGCTCAGAGTCACCTCATTCCACCATCTCCTCTCCACGCGGGCAGTCATTTGAGGGGTTCCCTCCTAAAAATGGTCGAGTATGTTGCTAGCACTAAGTGACAGAAATAAGATAGTGTTCTTCCATATGTAGCTAACACAGTTTTGTAGCACATATGTTTCAAGGATTAAAATGTATGAAGAAAGATATTTACACTGTTCATCAACAATTTCTAGATTGTTTTAAAAATTGGATGGCTCACCCAGGCCCCTGTCACAGCCTCCCGCCTGCCTTCCAAACACATGGGCCCTGTAGCTCTTGCCTCACACTGATGGCATTCAGAGAAATCCCCATCTCTAAGACATCTTCAATAACTTTTCTGGTTTAAAAGGTGAGCACTGGGGGAAGGGGGATAAAACTACATTAGATTAACTTTCCAGGGGGACATCCTTCCCAGGCTGCATTTTGCCATTCTGAAATGTGACCATTTGCCAGCATTGCTGTTTTCCTGAGCACATGATGTCACTGATATGGAGGAGAGGTCTTGCCTGGAAGACAGGGTCCCCTTCCCCAGAATGTGGCATCTGCACAGCCAGCCTGAACTGGCAGATGGACATGTGTAGCCCAACAAGGATCAGAAACTGAAAGCAGAAGTGCCAAAGTTAATTTGCTCTGAACTATTCCATCACTTTCACTCTTCCCCATGGAAATCCACCCGAAGTCCTTGACTCCCTTCCCAAGGCCTTTTTTCTGAGGCTCCAACTCTCTCTTCCTTCATCCACCTAAGCCCAGCCCCTGCTTCTCTTCTCAAAACAAAAAAGTAACATCCACCCTCTTGCCTTGAATATCTCATCTCCCAAAACTTGGATTATTTTATGTGGTAACTGCATTATTTCAATTTAGGGTGAGAGTTGGGATGCAGTCTGTATGAACCAAAAGGCAAAAATAACATCACAATGTATTATTCAAAAGAATTAAAAAGAAATGTCTATGATTTCCAGTTTTTATTACCAGCACTTCACTTATTGCTTTGGGGACTTCTGGGTTTGTTCTGGTTTGTTTTGGTTTTGCTTCTTTCCCCCCAACATAGCAGGAATACTTAAAATCTAAATATGCAAAAAAGAAAAACTGAAAGTTTTCAAAAGGGAGAAATGCTGATCTTGTCTAATGATGCCACAAGTTTACTCCAAAATTGCTCAATACCCCGTAATGGAGGAGAGAAAATTGATCGTCCTCATTATCACTGCAGCTCTGTCAATACCAATATTGCCTTGTTTTGAATAAAATGCGCTGTTTTTTTCAACGTTAGTTCCAGTAAAATGGGGTTTTAGTGAAGATAGCAGTAGCAGGAAACCAGTGTGGTTTCTCCTCCTACAAATGGATTGATTTTCCTAACGCATATTACTTCCAACGCAGGAGACGGGATGGAGGTGCAATTAGGACTCAGTGGTAAGAGCACAGGGTCACCAGGTTGGCCAGCGGGCTGGGCCCGCAAGGCAAATTAGCACAGAGTGATTTGCGGGGCAGCCTTAAGGAATTTTCTGCATTCTTCACTTAACGACCTAGCCTTTAAGTCCACGCTGTCTGTCTGTGGATGTTCATTCTTATGTATCGCTCTCTCTCTGTTCCCCACTTTCTCTCTTGGTCCAGATTAATATGGTCCCCAAAGCCCAGCGAGCGCTGGGTCCTGGAGCAATAGGTCCCCTAAAGAGGCATGGGTGTTGGGTTCAGCATTCCAAGATATGTGCGTCTTCTGCATATGAACCAAGTCATTCTCACACAGAAATGAAAACCACCAGAGAGGCCCAGTGCCTGCTGCCCCAGACACTCTGAAAGCACTAGGGGCTTTACTGAGCTACTCAAACTTGGATTAATGATTTGTTCCAATTTGGTCAAAATGTCCTTTTCTTCATGATTTTGAAGAGAGATGATAGACTTTAAGTGACTTAAGCTCTTTATCAAAAGACTGTAAGTGAAATGCCAGCAATAAATGGGGCCTACGGATGAGCTTTACTTGACAAGTTATGGCTTTTACCACTGCCTACTTAGAATTATGTCTCTCTTTATATGAGCATGAACTTTCCATTTTGCCATGGTCCCTCAGCCTGATATGCTGCTTCACAGTGCCCTTATGGCCTGGTAGGCTTGGGAGTTTATGATCGTGGTTTAGGTGTAAGAGATTCCAACCCCCATGGAACCAGCAGAATCCACATGTAAAGGGCCTGGCTTCCTCAACGTAACTAGGCAGATCTGTAACCATGGGGATGGGTGGGTGCCTGCTCCAAACTTTCTGTTTCCTTTCCAAATTACATGCAGATGGTGGGCAATTCGTCCTGTAAACAGAAGTCCAGGATCTCACATCTACAGCATATTTCTCTCTTTCCCATTTTTCTTCCTATCCTCCACTTTTGTCCCCTCTGTACTGCAGCCGTAGTGACAGTCTCAGCTTCTGCTAAACACCATGCCCTTTTCCAGTAATGCCTGAAGCTGGGAATGTCCTTTCCAATCCCATCCCTTTGCTGAGCTCCTGCTTATTACTCAAGAGGCAAGTCACGTGTCCCTTCATCCAAGAAACTTTTTCTGACTTTCCCAACCAGCACTGTCCATACTTCAATCATGTTAAATTTCACACTATGGCTGGTTCTCTCTCTCTCTCTCTCTCTCTCTCTCTCTCTTCTCCTCTCCCACCCCCACAACACCGTGGGTGGCTGCTCGACCCGTGACTCTTCACCTTGGTTTCCCTAGTGCCCATCTCTGCCTTAGACATTAGACAGAATAGCCGCCTAGTAAGCACAGGCTACTCTAAAACACAATAGGCGCGCCTAACCCAGAGGGCTGACAGATAGTCAGAAAGAGTGATGTGCCAATGAAGCGTTGAAGGATAATGAAGAGAGAGCTAGGCAGGTGAGGAAAATGGGCTTTCGGGGAAAGGAAACAGCACATGTGAAGGCGGGGCAGGTGAGAGTAAGCAGAGCCTTTCAAAAGGTTGGGGGGTCATGAGGCAGAGTTGCAACATTCGGGCCCTCGGGTGCCCTGCAAAGGGGCTCGCTGTGCTGCTGGCCATACCCTGCCCCATGCCAGCGCATGGGCAAGGCAAACACTGTGCATAGAGCCCTGAACTCCTCAGATTGCCAGTCCTGGAGGGCTGGGAAGCCTGGAGACCGAGCACTGACCTTGCTCTTGAGAACTGCTTGGAGATTCACCCACTTCTGGTACAGCTGATCTGAGAAGCCCCCAAGTCTCTGAAGCAGCCTCCACCAGATGCTCCAGATGACAGGACTACCCTCCAATTTGTTGTCCCCATTCTAAGCTCTGGTCCCAGGCCCAGGCTAATCCAAATCAGTATCCTAACACCCATTCCAGGCCCTGGTACAACAGTCCCCAGTGTGGTCCCCAGCATGAAAGTAGGGCTTGTTGCTCTAGAAGGTCCCCATCTGTAGAGAGCCTGCCTGCCCGGGACCTCCCAGCTTGGTCCTGACTTTCTGGGGGTCCTGGAAGTGGACATGTCTGTGCCCCAGCTCAGAGCCTGCCCACCCAGCTGGACGCTAAGCTCACCCACCCCCAAAAGGTGAAATTCATTATATGATGTCCTCACTTCACTTGGGACTATTACTGACCTTGCCCTAAACCTGCTAGGACTTAACACTCTTCTGTCCTTCCCCACCTAGCATAGACATGCATTCAGACATGGCACAGGCCTCATTGTCTCTGCTGAATTTTGATCCCATGGATTCTGATCCCTCGCTCAAGCTGACAGGGACCCTTCTCCTCCCCATTTTAACATCTGATGACTAACTGCCCCTCCCTACCTTAAGCCAGCTACACTCAGCTTCTCTTAGATCACTGATAAAGTGCAGAACCAGCCAGAGAAAGTACTGAGTCTTCTGACTCATAAGCAGATATATTAACATACAGTTCAATATCAACTTCCTGTTATTAATTTATCAATAGTGTAATGTCAGTTGGAAATATACCTAAAATGTATTACCTTCTACTTAATAGTTTCAGAATTTTATATACCACGACCCAGAACACAGACTGTCAGAGCTAGAAGGGAAGGGAGCAGGCGTGGGGAGCCAGCCTCTGATGTACCCATACACAGGGCAGGAACTGTACTAAGGACTTTACAACTATGCTCTCTTCTACTTTTCTCAATGGGAAAATATCATCACACCCATTTTGCAGATGAGAACACTGAGACTTAAAAGGGTTCCATCAATCTCATCAGGCCACATAGCTAATGGGTGGCCGCTCTGCCATGCCAACACAAGCCTTACTCCAAGGCTCATGATTTTGATACTGCATCATGCACTGATTATAAAAAGCTGGAATTTAGTATCTCATATGGGTCATAAATTGATGGCCTAGAGAAGTGTTTCATTTGGTGGGCTTCATTTGGGTGGGCTTCTGCTTCTGTTTCATGTCTCCTTAATTAAATGTACACACCTTTAGAAGAGCAAGTGCTCTCCTTTGGCCACAAGCTCCACCACTGACTACTGTATTCACCTGGCTTCACTTATGCATGTTCATTACCTCTCTGGACCCGAGATGTTGAGTCTGTGATCTCTGTGATCCAGGCCAAATCTGAGTAGTTGAAATTGAGATACAGAGAAACAAGGTAGCCTACGTATGTCATGGAAAAGGAACATTACCAAGGTCAGCTGATAATTAGGCCAGGGCTGAATCCATCTGACTTTAACTTACACCACCATTCCACATCCATGGAAGCTTGCTTTTTATCCCTTCTTCTCCATGTGAGATTATGTCTGTTTGCTTTTTTAGTTTTTAGTTTTTAGGTTTTTTTTGAGACAAGGTCTCACTCTGTCACCCAGGCTGGAGTTCAATGGCACAATCATGGCTCACTCACTGCAGCATCAACCTCCTGGGCTCAAGCAATCCTCCTGTTTCACTCTTCCAAGTAGCTGGGACTACAGGTGCACACCACCATGCCTGGCTGATTTTTTAAAATTTTTTGTACAGATGGAGTTTGCTGTTGTCTAAGCTGGTTTCAAACTTCTGGCTTCTAACAATCCTCCTGCCTTGGACTCCCAAAGTGCTGAAATTACAGGCATGAGTCACCATAACTGGCCCTATTTGCTCTTTTTAAGAGACTACCATGAGAAGTCACCTGGATTTTGACCAGAACCTGAGATTTTCCACTGAGGAATAACAGAAATACTTTGTGTAAGGGGCTCAGTGGGAAAGAGCATAGGAAACAGATTTTGAATGTATTTGGGATGTCCAATGTGTTATAATTTAACAAAGCAAGAGTCCTACTTTACCAATTTCCTTGTTGGTGGAAATGGCTCTTTTCAAATAGCCTGCCCTTATGCAATGCTATCCAGGGCTATTAGTGCTGTCAATATTTTAGTTACTTGAAACTCATACAATTAGTTCAGTGTTTGAAATACAGACTAATTCCAGAAAATGGCACCCTTTCTAAATTTAGGCATAAATGAGTTGATAGATACATGCAGCCCTGAACCCAATCTTCTCTGTGTCTTGCCAGGCTGTTCTGGAGGCTTCCATGGCAGCAGTGTCTTCACTGCAGCCTTTAGATCTCTGGAATTCACCCAAAAATAACGTGAGATGCAGACTGAGGATGACAATAGTCTCTCTAATGTCCTGGCCTGACTGTGCCATTGCCTTTCTGTAACCTCTCACTTCCCTATGAGAAAGGTAACTTGGTGGGGGGCAGGAGGTCCAGTCCTCAGGTCAGGCACGTACACTCACTAGTGCAGCAATATTGATTCTGTCGCTTAATTCCTGTGAGTTTCAATTCTTTATCTGCAAAATGGGTCTACTGATATCCACCATGCACGGTTGTTATAATGATTAAATGATAAAATGCTTGTAAAGCTTTTAGCAACTGATGATAGTAGCTGCACCATTTAGCAAGTGTGTCCTGTGTCCCTGTGCATGTTCTGCTCACCATGCTAAGCTCCATGCATTGCTCCATGTAATCCTCACAATAACATTTCAAAGAAGATGACATTATCCCCACACTACACAAAGGAAGTTAAGAATCAAAGAGTTTAAATAATTTTCCCATGGCTCTGTGACTGCTTGGTGACCCAGCTGAGACTTGACCACAATCTGCTGTTTTCAGAGCCTGAAGTCTGCCCTCTATGGTAAATGTTCAGTAAACACAGTGATAATGACAATGATGACATTGACAGTGATGTCAATGAATGGCAACCCAATAAAGTTAAATTCTCTTAGCTCAACATTCGAGGTCCTCCACAATGTGGCTTCAAGAGACCTTTCTAGCCCCACTCATCCATATGTTCTATTCATGTGTTCTATTTTAGCCTTTTCATCCATGTGTTCTATTCTAGCCCAGCTTAACTATTCAGAGTCCCCAAATAGGCATCTTTATGCTTCTTTCTGTGTCTGAGCTTCTCTTTCCTTCCTCTTCTACCTGATCTGGCATAAACATCCCTTTCCTTTAAAGCCTAGCTCTGGTGTTCCACCTCTCTGAGTCTTTCCCTCTCCTGTGTCCCAAGGCCTTGTGGGCAAACCTCGGTTATAGCCATCAGGATGTTGTTTTACTATCTTCTACACTTCCCTGCCTCCCATCCTCAAACCCAGATTACAGGTCCTGTGACGTTTGTCTCTGAATCCCCAAAGGCACATAGTAGGTGGTCTGTAATTATTCACAAAAGCAAACATATCACATGGGCAGCTACACAGTCTGGCTCCAACCTCTGCTAAACTAGACCTGGCTTTCCACTCTCTGCATTGTGAGTGCCTGGTGCACAGCAAACACCCTCAGTTAAGACCTGATTAGAAGCCGTAGCCCTCAAGGAAGTGGAATGGCATTTGGGACTGGAAAGTCCTTCCAATACTGGTCAGAGCTCTAGCCCACGGCCACATCTCTTATGACAGACACTCATGGCTGCTAAGCCTGCTAGAAAGGGAAAGTATCTTTATTCCCAATTAGTTACTTTTTTCTGGGGCCAACTCAGCTCCAAAAGAACTGAGCTGGACTCCATTTTTGCACTGTGCATAGTAAAAATCCCACTACCCAATTTCTAATATTGATGATGATGCCAGAAGCAGAAAAACAGCTGGAATATCTGTTTCCAAAAGCAGCTCGTAGAGCTAGCATTTTGGAGGGGAAAAGAACCTCTGGAACGAAAGGACCACAGAACAAATGTAACGTGGCCATCACTGGAAATAAACTAGAAGAGAACACCCATAAGGTTAAGTTGTGGCCTCCAAGATGACATGTGCACTTTGGAAAGCCATCAGTTTCTCATCCATAGAGGAGAGAGAGCAAGTGAATAGTGTAAAGCGGGTATAGATGTAGGGAGTATTAGGAACCACCAAGCTGACCTAAAGGAAGATGACAGGAAACATACTTTCCATCTTGCTAGTAACACTGACATCTACTGAAACTCTCTGCTCCATTTCCTACACCAAAACCTGCGGAGGCCTGCCGTTTTGTTTCAGCATTTCCTTGTGTGGTCTCATTTCTCATTTGATTCACTATTCTATCTGTTGTTGTGAGGTTTCCCCACTCCCTTACAGAAATTAATTACTGTAATTATCCAACTTTAATAGCTGCTGATTTGGCATCTGCAGAAAATACTGGAGAAAATGCACTACATTTCATTTGCATATTTGAGAGACAGCGAGGGAGAATTAGACTTTTCCTAAATTACTTATTGTGACCTGAATATAGAAAAAGTAACTCGCTCCAAATGGAATTATCAGTTGCATACTTCATTTGTCCAATTACTGTCATAGGATAAGCAAAGAGCAGAGGTTCTTCCCCATATGGTGATGTGATGACTCAGGGAATTCATCTAAAACTGAGGCTCATCCATGGAGTTTCCAGGCCTGTAAGAGGCCGCAGTGGATTTTTGCAGAATACATCCATCAGCAACTGTTTGACTGCTAAGACCACCCAGACCACTGGCTGTGTCTTTCCAATTGCAAGTACAATGCGTTGTATGAAATACAGCTAAGGAAGCCAGATGCCCTCACAATAAGGCTGTTGTACCTGGAAAGGTGTGCCATGCCCAGAATGCATGACCCTGCAGTCTGTGAGAGCTGCAAAGATCCAACACATCTTAAGCTTGGGCCAGAGGTGTTTCAGATCTTCCCCTCACCATCACCACAATCTTAGAAAGCCAAACAACTTTCCTGAGCCCCAAATACCTGCAGAATGGGAAGCATCTCATGGACTTCAAAAGGTTGCTGTGAAGATTGGAGAAATAGCATTCCTGGCACAGAGGTGATGTCTAATGTGTAATAGTCTCCATGTTGTCCCAGGTAGGTCCTGGCTTAAATACCAAGCCAGAGAATGTAAGATCCCAGACTCCAAGTAATTCACGGGCTACAAGATGGGATTTAGGGGTCAAATGTTTTTACCCATTTGTTAGATGAGTAAGGTAATGACAGCTGCTGATCTTTGAAGATATTTCCCCATAGGCATCTCTCACCTACACACACCTGTCACCCCTCACAGAAGAGGAGGCTTTTGTCCCCTCCCACTAAGTCTAAGCCGAGCCCCTGACTAACTTTGACCAAAGCTGGCTTTTCCTGGGCCTAAGTCCTTGGCAGGCCTGGCAGCTTCTGCTTTTGTGCCTGTGGGGGCCCGGAGCCACTGTGTGCCCTGCTAAAGAGCCTGCCTGGAGGGACACAGGCAGAGGCCAGATGGAGAGGGCTATGTAGAGGAGACCCCAGGATCCCACTGACAGCTTCAACCAAGGCCCCAGGTATGCCACTCAGCTAAGCCAGCTTAGGAACCCTTTGCCAGGGAGCCAGCCTTGCTGAGGTGCCACAGCTAAAGAGGTCATCCTGGGAGGTTCAACCCCACCAGCACCATGTGGAGCAGACAGGCCATGCCTGTTGTGCCCTTCTGAATCCCTGACCCACAGAACCATGAGAAATGACACGGATGTTTTTAACTTCCTATCCCAGTTTATACCAGCCTACCCCTTTCCCAAATCTCACTGTTATGTGTATCTCTGCCATTGGCTTCACAGCACTTTCCCATCACTCTCCAGCAGGGGAACAGGAGCAGGAACAAGAAGTCCATTCCCCAAAGAAGGGACATGGAGACATGAAACTGGGTCAGGCCTTTTCTTAACTCCTGCGCCAAACACTACAGATTTCCTTTCCTGGAAACAGTTGCTGTCCCAGAGCTTCTGCTCCGCCACTCCACTTTTCTCACTGATCTCAGAGGACTTGCAATATTTTTATGAGGCCACTGTCATTTTTAGGCTGTGACTAATAATGCCAACTAGTAGCAATTTCTTCCCCAAACATGTTGCCTCCGTCTGAACTCCTGGACAAAGCAAAGCTGGACTCCTCATTGCTTCCTGGGAGTGCCAGGTCCCTCTATTCATCCTCTGGAAGCCACTTCTATGTATAGGGAAGACCAGGAGTCCTGCCCCAAGGTAAGGCCACATTCAATACCAGGTTCACAACTGGGCATCCTTGAGAGTCATGTGCATTGTCTGAACTCACATTTCTCCATTGGTTAAAATACTGGCATTGATGCCCTCGACAAAACTGCAAGAGGAATAAATAAGCCAAGAAAGGGCCAAGCATCAGCCTGGGACAGAGTAGCTGCTCAAGCCAATGAATCCTCTTTCCTTGGCTGCTGATAAACCTAAACTGGTGCATTTCCCAGGCCTTCCTCAACTCTGCCCAGCTCTTTCTTGGAACTTCTAAGGTATTTGTTCTTTATCTTGAGACTGCTGACTCCAACTTCGTCTTGTTCTGTTACTCCATGCCCTCACCCATACCAGTTTTCCTTCCCACAATGAGGCTGTTAGTTCTGCCGGGACAGACACTTGAGAGTCGCCTTGGCTCTTTGTCTCTCCATTACCTGTAGCCTCCTCTTCCTGAAAGCCTGTGATTCTGCCTCTGGACAGGTCTCTTAATTCCTTTCTTCACACCTTCTCACAGACACCACCCTAATCCAGCTATCACCACACATCACATGGACCGCAGGCAGAGACTCCTAACTCTTGCCCCTTGCCTCTTCCTCTCAACCCTCATTCCCTGTCCATTCTCCACCAAGCAGCCAATGTAATGTTTTTCACGCAAAATCTGATCATGTCACCCTCCACTCACGTGAGAGAGGCTTCTTGTTATCATTTACATTGGCAAGGCTCCCAGAAGCCTGCATGCCCCATTATCCCCATCATCGCCTGACCAGGGAGCCCTTGCTCCTGGCCCTTCCAATTTGCTCCTCCCCTAGCCACCAACAGCAGGCCCCTTCCCACCCAGTTCACACTAGCTACTCACCCTTCAGGTCTCTGCTTACATGTCACCATCTAGAGACGGCTTCCCTGACCTCCAACCCTTTATCTAAATTAGATTTAATGAGATCTGTTCCTGCCTCCATTCTCATTCTTCTACCTCAGCACCCTGATTTTTCCCTGTAATATCACTCGTCACAATTCATAATTTCATATTCACTTGTGAGCTCATTTATTTAGTCTGTCTGCACTGTCACTACCTCCTCATCCCCATCATAGAGGCGGGCTCTGTGGACAGTGTCTATGCTCATCTTGCTAGCTGTGCATGAGCTGCACAGAGCACAGGGCCAGGATCTCAGCCAGCATCCAGGAGAGAGATGAACATGCCAGGGAGCAAAGGACTTCCCACCAACGCCAGGTGCTGAGCTTAACACCTGGGACTTGCCTTACTATGGTTCAATTATTTTCAGTTGTTTTTTTGTTTGGCTGTTGTTCTTAGAAGGTAGCTTTGTTAACAGAAGTGATCTGTTTTGGATGGCCTTGCAAGGGTGGGCACAACTCAGTCAAGTGTCCAGGACACCCTGGTACTTTCCCACTATAGGTGTTTCCCATGGGGAGCTCTGCTAACGCAGGGCACTGAAGACACGGACAAAAGGAAAAAAGCTGTCTTGGGTCAGAAGGCATTTGAGAGATCAGTCATGTGAAGATGACAAAACACACATATTCAACACCAGGTACCTGTGGGTGATCTTCATGGTACAACCGAGGCAGCAGCCTCACCATGATGCACACGACCCCGGGATGCATGATTGCAGCATCTCCCTCATCCATCCTGCAGAGAGAGGGAGAGCCAGACATGAGACACGGACCTTCCAGTTTCTTTCTATTTTCACTGAGCTTCCTGGATCTTTCTTTCTAAGACAGATCATGGTACACATCCTGTCTTATTACCTAGATGACATTGAACTACTCCATCGAGCCTAATTTCCTCCAACTCTAAAAGGCATTGACAGTACCACACTTTCCCCCTACAGTCATAGAAGAATGCTTTTGTGCTCCAAGGCACAGTGCCTGACCCATAGTTGATGCTCAGTGAAGTTAGTTCCCTGGTTTTCTTCCCTTCCCTCCAGATACGTTGGAGATTGAGAAGCTCTGGTTTCATATTGAACACACACACACACTCACTCACACACACACACACACAGGCTTCTGGGTCCCTTCAAAATGGTGTAAGCACACTCAGCTCTGTCCCACCCCCTGAATACCGAATGCAACTAAAACACTTAGAACTCATGGAGCAGCTCTTGGAGGACTCTGGAAAGTAAATGGTAGCCGAGAAGGAAACCAAACTCAAGCACTATGAACTGGCAGTGAGCTTTCTGGGCTTCCCCTCTGCAGCATCCCCTGGTGTGAACTCACAGGTAGCCTAAAACTCGCAACTGTGCACAAGGTGTAGACATGATGGAAAGAGCTCCAAGAGAAGTCCTCTGTTTCTGGTCTGAGGAGCAGGAAAGGAGGTTTTACAGGTCACAGAGCATGGAGGAAATCCCCTGGGATTTTCTTTGTTTGGTTTCCCCATTCTTTCCCAACCCATCTTTCAGGCAATTCCCTCAGCATCAGCAACAGCAGCAGCAGCCAGGCAGACTCTAAAACTCTCAGTGAAGAGAAACTTTCTCTCTGACCAGAGGACCTGTAGTCCCAAGAGTGTAGGTAAAATTCCCATTGCTCTTTTCTCCTTTTCTCCCCTCACTGCATGGCCCCAGAGACAGATACCAGTGACACAGGGAAGAACAGAGAAACAAAAGCGCCAATTCTAGACAGAGCAGGAAGGGACCCCTTGGGAGCCAGCAAGTGTTAAGGAAAGGATGAAGAAGAGGAAGCTGAGGAAAATGTAACCACAAAGTTGTATATTAACCTCTGGGCTGAGTTCTGACTGTGTATGTGCATCTGACCCTAACTAGGAGGTAAACCACCACACACAACCAGTTACTGCATGAAGCAAGTGAGCGCACATCAAATCTCCCTGCAGTCTTTGAAAACTGAACTGATACTGGAACCAGAGAGTCCAGGGAAGATGGGCAGAAACTTGCAACCTGAACCTAAGTGGGCTAGTTCCCTACCTTAAGATATATATATATATATTCATTAACATTCTCTATAAGATGACAACAAAGACCAGAGTTCATAAGATAAGATTCAAAATGTCCAGAATACAACCTGAAATTGCTCAACATAGAATGAACCAGGGAAGTCTCAACATCTCATGTGGAAAAAGACAACCAACAAATGCCAATGCTGAGATGTCACAGATGTTGGAACTATCAGACGAAACCCTTAAAGCAGTTATTAACCCAATTCCAAGAAGTAAGAGTGAACATTTTTCAAATAAATGAAAAACAGAAAGTTTCAGTAAATAAATAGAAGCAATAAAAAAGAATCAAGTAAACACAACAACTGAAATTTGTTTAAACTCACTAAATGAGAACAATAGGAGAATGAGATGAGAGGAGAGTCCATGAACACGAAGATGGAGCAATACAAGTTGCCTAATCTGAACAACAAAAAGGAAAAAGATTACTAAAAATAAAGACAGACTCAAGGTCATGTGTAACAAAGGATCTAACATTTCTGTCATTAGAATCCTCCAAGGAGACGAGAAAGAGTATGGTATGAAAGAAAAAACGTTTGAGAAGTTTTTAGTACTTCTTTCTTCAAAGCTGGTGAAATACATAACCTTAAAGATTCAAGAAGCTTAGCAAAACCCAAATAAAATAAACAAAAAAAATTATGCCCAGACACAGCACAATCAAACTGCTGAACACTAAAGAAAATTTTAAAAATCTTGAAAGCAGCCAGAGAAAAACAACACATTACATTTAAGGGAACGACAATTTGAATAACCTTGGATTTTCTCATAAGAAAGCAGAAGTCATGGAAACAACATTTTTAAAGTGCTACAAAAATACACACAGAATTCCATATCCACATGCTTCCAGAATGAAGGCAAAATAAATGTGTTCCCAGATGAAGGAAGACAGATTCTTGCCATCAGACTTGTTCTAAGAATAATACTTTTAAAATTTCTTCAGATGGTAGGAAAATAATAACAAAATAATGAAAGGAAACTTCAGGGATGAAGAAAGAGCAACAGAAATGGTAAATATTTGGGTAAATATAATACACTATTATTGTTCTCTTCTTAAGTTCTTAAATTTAGGTATGATGGTTGAAAGTGACATTGTATTAGATGTAATACATAAGACAACCACAACAAAAATAGGGAAGGATAGAGGGAACGGCGTAGAGGTAAGCTTTCTATAATCCATTTGAAATAGTAAAATGTCAATTCTAAGTAGACTGTTAAAAGTTAATTAAGTATACTGCAGTCCCTATTGAAAGCACTAAAAAAAAAGGAGAGACAAAAAAGGAGAGTCAAAAAATTCAGTAGATAAACTCAAATTGAATACTAAAATATATTCAAATTGTCCACAAAAAGGCAGGCAAACAGAAGTAGAGGAACAAAAAAAGAGTAAAAAAAAAGAGAAAACAAACAATAAAATCCTGAACCTAAATTCAAACACATCAATAATTCAAACACATTAAAAACTGATAGACACTATTGTCAGAATGGAAAGAAATAAAAACAAAGCTATATGCCATCATTAAATATTGTGATATAGATAGGTTAAAAGTAACAGGATAGAAAAATTTATACCATCCTAACAGTAATCAAAAGAAAGCTGGTGTAATTCTACTCATATCAGGGAAAACAGACTTTAGAGCAAGGAAAATGACTCATAATAAACAGATTATATGATATGATGATTAAAAGAGACATAACAATTCAAAACGTGTTTGCACTTTACAACAGAGCATCACAATTCAGAAAGAAAAACTCATAGATCTGAAAGGACAAATGGCCAAATCCACAATTATAGTTAGAGAGTTCAACACTCCTCTCAGTAATTGTTCCTTCAAAGTCATAAACTACCTTCAAACGGTTTTCTTCGAAGCCACAAACTACCAAACTCAACAAGAAGAAATAAGTTGCCTAAATCATTTATAGCTATTACAAAAACCGAATATGTAGCTAAAAACCTGCCCACAAAGAAACCTTGAGGCTCAGTGTTTTCACCAGCAAATTCTACCATACATTTAAAAGAGAAATAACACCAGTTCTACACAGCTTCTTTCAAAAACACAAGAGAAGGGAACACTTCCCAATTCATTTTATAAAGCCAGAATTACCCTGATATTGAAAACAGAAAAACACAGTATAAAAAAACTACATTTCAGTATACCTAATGAACATAGGTGCAAAAATCCTCAACAATCAGCAAATAATACCTAGCTACATATAAAATAACGAGGGTACTATGGCCAATTGGACTACCCGTAAATGCAAGGCAAGTTTAATATTCAAAAATCAGTCAACATGATCCATATTAATAAAATCACATGATAATATCATTTAATGCATAAAAAGCATTTGAAAGATTAAAAATCTGCTCATGATAAAAAGAAATTCTCAGTAAATTCAAAGGAATTGTTTATAACCTAACAATGGGCATCTACAAATTCCCATAGCTGATGTTATATTCAATGGCAAAGACTGAAGACTTTCTCCCTAAGATTAAGAACAAGCAAGGATCTCTCCATTGCTATTGGATGTAATACTGGAACATATGGATTGGAAAGGAAGACCAAAAACTGGCACTAGTCACAGACGATGAGATTGTCTTCATAGAAAATCCCAAGGAATCCATAAAAAAAAAAACTTCTAGAACTAATAATTAAATTTAGCAGTCTCAGAATAATAGTCGACATACAAAAGTTAACCATATTCCTAAATACTAGAATTGAAAAATTAGAAACCAAAAAATTTTAAATACCCTTTGGAAGTGTGTTCAACAAAAGACTCTGGTATAAATCTAAGAAAACATGTGCAGGCCCTACACTGAATATGACAGACTTTGATGAAAGAATCAAAGACCTAAATAAACAGAAAAGCACACTATGTTTATGGGTTGGAAGATTTACTATAGTTAAATTGTCAATTCTCTCCAAATTGATCTATAGATCTAATGCAATTCCAATAAAAATCCCAGCAGGAATTTTTGTAGATATAGGCAAGCTGATCATTAACATTTATATGGTATCAGAAAGGAACACTTCCCAATTCATTTTACAAAGTCAGAATTACCCTGATATTGAAAACAGAAAAACACAGTATAAAAAAACTGCATGTCAGTATCCCTAATGAACATAGGTGCAAAAATCCTCAACAATCAGCAAACAATACCTACCTATATATAAAATAACGAGGTTCCATCAGGACAGCCAAAGGTAAAGGAACTGAAATCACCAAAGCAAATTTGAGAAGGAAGAATATCTTTGGAGAGCTTGCATTTGATATCTTACAAAGCCACAGTAATCAAGACAATATTGGTGAAAAGCTAGACACATAAGTCAATGAAATCAAATAGTGTCCAAAGACATATATAAATATGGCTAAGCAGTTTTTACAAAGTTATAAAGACAATTCAATGGAAAAAAAGATAATATTTTCAACTAATGGCATTGGAAGAATTGGACATTCATAAGCAAAAACAAACAAACAAAAAATGAATCTCAATCTAAACTTCACACATGGTACAAAAAGTAGCTCAAAACAGATTACAGACCTGTAAAACTTTTAGAAGAAAACATAGGAGAAAATCTTCATGGCCGTCAGGCAAAGAGATCTTAGATATGACATAAAAGTGCAATACATAAAAGTAAAAACAAATGATGATTTGGACTTCATCAAAATTTAAAACCTTCAATCTGTGGAAGACCCTATTTAAAGATGAATAGATAAGCTATAGGCTGGGAGGAAACATTTGCATCCCTACAATGGAAAACTACTCAGCAACAGAAATGTATGAACTACTGATACACACAAAATGAGTGAATCTGAAAGGCCTTATGCTGAGCGAAAGAAGCCAGGCTCAAAAGATTACACATGTATGCTTCCATGTATATGGTATTCTGGAAAGACAAAACTATAAGGAAAGATCCACGGTTGCGAGGATAGGGTGGAGAAAAGGTTTTACTATGTGGGGCAATATCTGGGAGCTATTTGAGGTGATGAGACTGTTCTGTTTCTTGATTGTGGTGGTAGTCGTGTGACTCTACACATGAATTAAAACCCATAGAACTGTAGGCCAAAAAAAGAGACTTTTACTTCATGTGAATTGAAATAATAATAATAAACTACAGGCTAATCCCAAATTACCAACACCCAGTTTTCCAACACCCTGCCCATGTTGCTGCTGTCATATGCAAAGTGAGATTGTTTTTAGTCCTCAGAGTAGCTAAGGTGCTCAGGAGTGTTTCTTGTGCTTGGGCGTAATTTATTCAAATCAACTGAGCAAATACTTATTGACCTTTTATTATTTTCCAGGCACTATTCAGGCACTCTGGATACATCTGTAAACTAAACAAACTAAAATCCATGACCTGGGTGTGAGGGGAAGGGTGTAGACATAAAGATAAACACAATAAATAAGTAAATTAAAATTAATAATTATTGTGTATAATATAACATATTAATATATAACATAATAATATCATAATGAATAAGAAATGATAAGTGCTATTGAGAAAAAAAGAGCCAAGAAAGGAGAATTGACAAAAATTTGATTTTTGATTGATAAGTGCTTGTATGCAGAAGGAGAGTAATTTACAACTTTAATTTGAATGGCAGGTTTGGCCTCTTTAAGAAGGGCAAAACTGAAAGACGGGATGCAGACATCCATGGGAAAAGCATTTCAAGCAAAGAGAAGAGCCATTGCAAAAGCCCTGAAGTAGGAGTATGTCTGGCATATTCCAGGAACAGCAAGGAAGCCTGTATTTTTACTCTGATACTGAAGCCACACAAAGACAATACAGAAAAAAAAAAAAAAACCTACCAATATCCAAGGGATCAATGTCCCTTATGAACATACATGCAAAATCCTAAACAAAATGCTAGCAAACTAAATTCAACAGCATATTAAAAGGATTATATGTCATGACCAAGTATGATTTATATTAGAAATGCAAGGGTGGTTCAACATAACAAAACCAATCAACAAAATACACCACATTAATAGACAAAGGCAAAAAACAGATGATCATCTGATTTGACTCATAAAGAGCATTTGACAAAATCTCACACTCTTTCATGATAAAAACACTCCAAAAACTAGAAATAGATAGTAAACTTCCTCAACATGATAAAGGGCATTTATGAAAAGCCCACAGCTAGCAGCATGCCAAATGGTGACAGCTGACCCTCAAATTCATGTGGAATTGTAGGAAACCCTAAGAAGCCAAAGCAATATTTTAAAAGATAAAGTTGGACAACTCACATTTCCAGAGTTCAAAACCTACTACAAAGCTACATAATCAAAACAGTGGAGCTGACATAAGGATAAATATAGAGATCAATGAAATAGGATTGAGAATCCACAAATAAACTCATGTATCTGTGGCCCCTTGATTTTCAACAAGGATACAAAGACAATTTAAGAAGGGACTCTTCAACTAATGGTACCAGAGCAGTTGAATAGCTATAAGCAAAAGAATGAAGTTGAACCCTGACCCCTTGCCATATGCAAAAATTAACTCAAAATGAATTAATTATCTACAATAAGAGCCAAAACAAAATTTTTAGGAGAAAACACAGTGGTAAATCTTTATGACCTTGGATTTGGCAATGGATTTTTACATATAATGCCAAAAGCACAAGTAACAGAAGAAAAAATGGATAAACTGGACTTCATCAAAACTGAAAATTTTTGTGCATCAAAGGACATTATTAAGAAAATGAAAGGAGAACCTACAGAATGAGAGAAAATATTTGCAAATCATATTTCTTTTGAGAGTCTAGTACCCACAATATATAAAGAATTCATACAACTTAGCAACAAAAAGAGAAACAACCCAATTAAAATATGGGCCAAGCCCTTGAATAGACGTTTCCCCCAAAAAGATATACAAATGGCCAAAAAGCACATAAAAAAATTCAACATTATTAGCCATTAGAGAAACAAAAATCAAAATCACAATGAGATAACACTCCATGCCCATTAGAATGGCTAAAAAATTTTTTAAAGGGAAATAAATATTGGCAAGCCTGTGGAGAAATTGAAAACCTTTTATATTGCTGTTGGGTGTGTAAAATTGGTTCAGCTGCTGTGAAAATAGGCAGTTTTACAGTTCCTACAATTCTATTGAATTGAGCTACAATTCTACTCCTAGGTATATATTCAAAAGAATTCAAAACAAGTACTCAAATAAATACATGAACATGAATGTTCATAGCAGCACTATTTACAAGAACCAAAGGAAATAACCCAAATGTTCATCAACAAATGAATGGATAAACAAACTGTGGTGTGTACCCATATGATGGAATATTATTTTATTGTAAAAAGGAAAGAAGTACTGATATACGTTACAATGTAAATGAATCTCAAAAATATTAAGCTACCTGAAAGAAGTCAAACGCCAAAGGAAACCTATTACATGATTCCATTTACACATGATTTATCCTGAACAGTTTAATCCCCAAAGCAGATTGGTGGTAGCCCAGGGACTGGGGAAAAGAATGAGAATGAGTATAGGTTTTCCTTTTGGGGTGATAAAAGTGTTTTGAATTAGATAGAGGTGGTCTTTGCACAACACTGTGAATGCATTAAATTCTATGGAATTGTTTGCTTTAAGATTATTAATTTTATGTTCTGCAAATCTCACCTCAGTGAAAAAAGCTAAGATTTTTTTAAAGTAAAAGATGTCCAGCACCTGGAGCAGTTCTCAAACTTTAATGTGCTTACACATAATAAGAGGACCTTTTTAAAAACAGAACCCTAAATTTCAACCCCAGGGATTTGTGATTCGGGAAATCTAGTTTACACAACTATATTTTTGTGCAACTTTACAATGGATTCTGATGCAGGTGGTCTACAGGCCACACTATGAGAAGCATTGCTGTAAGGTAGGGATTGACAGAGCAGGAATGGAGACAAGGTTCTGGATCCCAAGGATGGCAGACACTGATCCCCCACCTGACCTGGTGTTCCCAGACGGCTTGTATCTCGCAAGGGACCTGTGGGTACGACAGAAAGTTGTAATCAAAAGTACAAATCCCAAAGTGCCTGTATCTTTGGGAGCCAGTGGTGGTGTGAGGCGTGCTTGGCCAAATTTTGCATCTCATTTGAAGAAGCCTAGGGGCCTTTGCAGGACGTGAACCAGTGAAGCCTCATCATTTCACACAGCCCCTGAGCTTGGCTATAAAATCCTGCCACCCACAGCAGCTGCATGACAGAGAGGATGACTACTCCAATCCTGGTACTTGTCTTGCTTAGATATGGAAGTCAGACAGACTGCCCCCTATGTGGACTCTATCAAACTTCAGGAGGCAAGATTAATAACTATCTCCTGTTACTAAGGCCTGTGGATACTTGAGGGATGCATTAGAAAATTAAAAGCAAAGCGGCCTCATTTGTGCAGTCCATGCTGATTACTCCAGACAGCCACCATCCTCTTCCAAAACTCTAGGGCTTCTCTCTCAGGGACTAGCACCAACCAGTCTCTCTCACACTCTCATCAAATTGGTTACCAAGGCCAGGCAAAGTTACGTCCTAAATAGTTCTCAAAATGTTCTCCTGTTCAAGCTACTGCCATCCCTGGAAGGAGCAACTGACAGCTCCTTTGCTCCTCTCCTTTCCAGCCATCATCTCTGCCCATCCATCCCTATAGCTTAAAGCCCTACTACAGCTTAAAGTCCGAGCAATGCCTACAGAAGGCAGGAACAAACCTTACTCAAGATAGTTGATTTTGAGTCTCACCTTTATGCCTCCTCAACCCATCTCAGACCAGATAACTCTCATCTTTAAATGTTTAGCTCAGTGGTCTCCTCATCCAGGAACGCCTCGCTGACCTCCTCCCCAGACTTCATTAGGTGCACTTCTCTGCGTCCTCTCAATTTCTGGGCCTGCCCTTGCCAGGGTCCCCACCATACAAGGATAATGCTCCATTCATGTCTCTACTAGGTGGGAGCCCAGAAGAGGAGCAGGCAGGAGCAGCCATATCTGAAGCAGTTGCAGGACAACTGCACATCAGGTGTCTTCAGGACACCAGGCACGAGAGTCCAAGACTATCTGCCTTGCCAACCCTCCCTGCCTTTCCTCCTGTCCTGTCCATCTTCTCAATTCATTCATGCCCATATTCTACTCAGTGACCATTCACAGGGGTCCCTGATGTAGCTGCAGACCCAGTCCATGCTCACATGGGCCTCACCACTGAAGCAGAAGAAAGAGATTTGAACACCATCTTATTTCAACAGTGGTAAGAAACCAAAAATTGATAGATGTACAGTGCCTTTATTAGCAGATGGGGAAGAGACGACTTAAGTGGCTGATGTCCTTGGCATCCATTTTAATACATATCCTGGTTTCAGATATGCTCAAGTGTGCAAACACAAACCAAAGAAATAAGAAACCAAGGAAGATTACACAATTAATCATTGATTTGCACTGTGATCAGTGCTGAGGGTGCTGAGGAAATGTGAGGCAGTGGGATCTGATTTGGCCCATGGGATGGGGATGGGCAGGCCAGGGGAGGCTTCTTGGAAGAAGTGACATCTAAACCTAGACAAAAGCATAAGAAGCAACTGTCCAGGCAGAGTGAAGACAGGAAAGGCATCCCAGGTAGAGTAAAGGGCATATGTGAAATCTGAGTCTGAAACATGGCTGCATGGCTGCATGCCATGGGCAGGCAGGACCCCCAGAACTGTGTGCCCCACACTCCCAATGCCTGACTCCCTCCTGGGAATCATGGGAAAGCACTGGAGGCTTCCAAGTGGGAACGACAGGGTCACATCTGTGCCTTCCAAAGGCCAGTGTGGCCTTCATGTGAACTGTTCAGGAACTACACTGTCCCCCACCCTTCCTCAATGGTCTGGCACAACAATTACCTCTAACAAACTTAAGTGACAGATATAACTCATACCCACAGGGGACATTGTTTCAACAGGAAAGATTAGGATGAAGCTGCAGGATGCCCAGCAGCAGAGCCAGAGGAGTAAGTGTTTAGGGCTCTGGCCTGCAGAGTGCCCCATGAAACCTTAACTATTGCCTGGAGCACACCGCATTCCTGTTGAAATGATGTCCCCTTAGGGCTATAAGTTATAGCCACAACTTAAGTTCAAGGTAAAGGTGACTGGGGTTGCTCCTTTGGCTGACATAAGGAATAAACGTCAGCCCACGAGGCCTGGCAGGGGCTGGGAGAAGGCATATGCTAAGGCAGAAGCAAGAAGGAGCAGGGCTGCCTTGCTTTGGAGGGGGCTTTTCTCAGAGCTATACACAGACCCAGTTGTAGAGCAGTCCTCATAACCCATAACCCCATGATGCCACAGTCCTGCACAGAGACCACCCTAGCTCCACATTGCCTATAGGGTAAAAGTGAAATGGTCTCCCATAGGGTTTGTGCAAGGCCCACCACAGTCTGACCCTGCTTCTGCTCCACTTTCACCTCCAGACCTGCACTGTGGATGATGTGCTGCTGAGGGGTAAGCACTCCATTCTATGGTGTGTGTATGTAGTGTGGATATGTAGTATGTGTGTATGTGTGGTATTTGTGTGTGTCGTGTGGTGTCTGTATGTAGCATATGTAGGTGGTATGTGTGGTGTGTATTCATGTGTATGTGCTAGGTGCTGTGTGGTGTGTAAGTGCAGTGTGTGGGTGTGTGGTATGCCAGTATGTGTAAGGTGTATGTTTAGTGTGGTGTGTGTGTGTTTTGTGTACATGTGGTGTATGTATATGTGCATGTGATGTGTATATAGTGTGTTTGGTGTAGGGGTGTTTATTTGGTATGGTGCATGTTTCATAGAGATATATGATGTATTTTGGACACCATAGATATATTTTTGGAATTACATAACATGTCACCTCTGTGTTATGAAAAATATTCCTTAAATTATAGTTACCATAAAGACTAAATGAATTGAAGAATAGTCCATTGTAAAAAGCTGAGCATGGTGTCTGGCGCACACATGCTTAGGAAGCAGCTGTGATCACTCTAACTACCATCTTCCCTCAATGTAGATACTATTATTATGTCTGCCTTCAAATCAGGAGATGGAAGATTAGAGAAATAAAGTAGCAGGACCAAAGAACACAGCCACCAAGGCATAGAACAAGCAGGCCTGACTCCAAGGCCCACGGCCTCTTTCCCTCCTCCCTGGAGACTTGGGACCTACTTTGCAGAAGGCAGGGCTGAGGGAAGCCACTTGCCCAAGGACATACAAGTGTGGTACGGCAGAGACGAGCACCCTGTCTCCCATTCCCAGCCCACTGCCATGCCCTTTACTCTGCAGACTCCCTGGAGGGGGTAGAGTTTCACTTCCTATTCTCTAACCATCAAGGAAGGTCAAGGGCCATGTATCTCTTTTAGGGAGAAAAAAAAATGCTCTATTTATGAAACATGGGTCTTATAAATGTAAAAATTACTCATTACAAAACCAGGATGACATTTGACACAGGACTCACCTCTAAAACATCAGGACTGACGCAGTCCATTGGTTAGAACCCAATCTTCAAACTGCAGGCTGTCGTGTCAGACATTTGGAAAACTATCACTATTATTGTGGGAGTATCAGGAAAAAAACAGGAAGAACACACACACGTGTGTGCACATACACGCACGCACAGACAAATGCATGCAGGCTTTGGAGGTAGCCCTGGGTTCAAATTCTAGCTTTATTATTTACTAAATGTGTGACCTTTGGCCATGTTTTTTATCCTTTCTCAGCCTTTGTTTCCTTATTGATAAAATTCCAAAATTTTGGAGGGAAATAAAAATAAATAGATGTTTAGTGCTCAGCCTCCATAGACATTCAACTAATTACTATTGCTTTTCTTCACCTGATATCACTTACTAAATGTCTTTTCATACTGACAAATACTCCCCTGCCCCTGAGAGCTGGCAGAATAAGTCAAACAAGTTTCCACACCAAGATCCTAAGTTAACCTGTATGTTATCAGGGTGCCCAGGCAAAAGGCCTCCTCAGGGATTGCCCCTGAAATATAGAGAACAGGGAACCCAGAGAGGGAATTCTTCCCAAGACAAGCAAGAAAATCAGGACCTGGGAATCTGGCCAAGGCCTGGCTTGGAAAGGGCAGCTAAGACCCCATGGAGGCATTCCCATACCTACAGAAGGGCAGAATGGCCTGAATGAGGATGGTTTCTATGGAATCCAAGAAAAGGAAAATCTTGGAGCAAGATTCACAATAAAAAATCAGACATCATACAAGGGACCTTCCATGATTGTCACAGAAACAATATACTCTCAAAAAACACAAGAAGAAATAATTATGATTCTTGTGTTTGAAGAAATAAAAATGAAAGATATGAGAAAGGAAAAGGGCTATCAAATCAAGTTTATTTGAAAAAGAAACAGTATATCTAGACATATAAAATACTGTCATTGAAATTTTAAAAAGAAAACCTAAATGGCTAGATTATATATCAGATTAGACACAGCTAGTAGGAGATTCAGTGGGTTTAAGAAAGACCAAAAGAAACTGTGTGGAACAGAGTACAGAGAGACAAAGAGATGAAAAATGTAAAAGAAAGATTAAGGGAGGATAGAATGAAAAAGTAAAACATACATCTAATTGTGTTAGTTCCAAAAAGGCATAATAGGAAAAGGGATGGAGAAGAGGTCATAATTTAAAAATCCATATTTTATAAAAGACATCAGTTGGGATTCAGGAATCCCAATGAATATGAAGCAAAATAAATGTTTAAAATAATGTACATTGAGATATATGACAGTAAAGCAATAGAACAAGAATGGTGAAGATCTTAAAAGCGACCAGAGAAAAATGACAAATTACCTTCAAAGGAAGAGAAATAAAAACGATTTTAAAAGGCAACAATGGAAGGCAATAGCTGGGGAGACCTTCCATTTACTGTGAGAAAATAACTGTCAACCAATAAATGTTTACCCAGCAAAACTATATTTCTGCAATTAGGGAGAAAATAAAGACAGTTTTCAGACAAATAAAATCCAAGAGAGTTTACCACAAATAGACCCACACTACAGGAAAGTTTAACAGATGTACTAGAGTAGATAAAAAATAATCCCAGATGGAAGGATAGAGATGCAAAAAAGAATGGTGAGCACAGACATTGAAAGCATGTAGGTAAATCCAAAGAATATTTTATAAAACAACAACAATAACTGTCATATCTGATGGATTTACTAACAGGAGATAAGTTTAAAATATTAGCTAATAGTAATGTATGAGTTAGAAAAGGGCAAAAATATTTGAGTTTTAAGGTCTTGGTGTCTTAATTGGAAGGATAAAGATACTGTTTAACTAAAAACATGAGTATGCCTGTTAATTCACTCTAGGGCAACTACTATAAAATTAATCATAGAGAGTTTAAATTTCATACTAGTAGGTAGGAAACACAATTTTTTAAAATCAATTCAAAAATAAGACCAAAAATGTTTTTTTTTAAAGTGGAACAAATGTAAAAAGCTAAGTAGAAATCATTCCAAATATATTAATAATTATGAAAGCGTAAACAAATGACTTTCTCCAGTTAAATGAGAAATAATACCACACTAGATTGAAAAACAAAGTAAAACCAACAAAAGTGGTTCCTTATTGTTTACAAGAAAAACACCTAAAAATGTAAGGACAGTACACAGAAAGGTTAAAACCAAAGGATGAAGAAAAATCCCAGGCACGAACTAACCAAAAGAAACCTGATATAGTCCTATTATTATTAAGGCAAAATGTACAACTAGGGATAAAAAGTTCACCATATAATGATAAAAATTTAGACTCCATAAGAATATAAAAATTCTAAATATGTATGATTCTTACAACCTCAAATATATGTAAGGGAAAATTCATCAGAAATTGACACATCCACTTTATCATGAGAGATTTTGAATGCATCGTTCTCAATAACTGATACACCATTTCCCAGGCCGCTGCCGCAGGTAGCGGAGGGGCAGGTCCCAGTGCTGGAGACCGAGGCTACCTCCTGGGCCACCTGGCGGCCGTTGTGGTGAAGCAGGTACTGCTGGGCCGGAAGGTGGTGGTGCGCTGCGAGAGTGTCAACGTTTCTGACAATTTCTACAGAAATAAGCTGAAGTACCCGGCCTTCTTCCGCAGGCGGATGAGCACCAACCCTGATGAGGCCCCTGTTATTTCCTGGCCCCCAGCAGCGTCTTCCAGCCGACAGTGCAGGGCCCGCGGTCCGCAAGGCCCAGCGAGGCCAGGCTGCCTTGGACGCCGAGGTGTTCGATGGAATCCCACCGCCCTACAGCAGGAAAACTAGATGGGTGTTTCTGCTGCCCGCAAGGCTGTGCATCTGAAGCCCACAAGAGAGTTTGCCTACGTGGGGCGCCTGGCTCAAGAGGCTGGCTGGAAGTACCAGGCAGTGACAGCCACCCTGGAGGAGAAGAGGAAGGAGAAGGCCGAGACCCACTACCAGAAGAAGAAATAGCTCATAAGGCTGCAGAAACAGGCCAAAAAGAACGTGGAGAAGAAAACTGACAAATACACAGAGGCCCTCAAGACCCATGAGCCCAATAAGGCCTGTTTATTCCAAAAATAAAAAACAAAAAGCTGATATTTCAAGCCGACTTTAAAAATTAATGATAAAGGATATTTGAATGAAACAATTGACAAATTCGATCCAAGGGACATAAATAGAACATCGAACCTAACACTCTGAGAACATGCATTATTTCCAAGCACATGTGGAATATTTATGAGAAGGGACTACATTGAGGGCCATGAAGTCAACCTCAACCAATTTCAAAGGATAAGAACCCAGACGATCCACCTTCTCTCACCTTGATAGAGTGAGAAGTAAATAGCAAAGATGACTAGAAACACTGTAACAATGGAAATTCAAAATTCAAACACATAAGAGTCAACTATAATTTATAAGGGAAATTAGAAAAATATTTCATACTAAATGATACTGAAAATAAAACTTACAAATTACAGAGAAATTTACATGTAAAAAGAAGATGGAAACAGACATCCAAGTTAAGAAAAAGAACACCAGAATAAGCCCAAAGGTAGAAGGAAATGATAACCAAAAACAGTAGGAGAAACAGGAAAAGTCAAAGTTGGTTCATAGGGCACACTGAAAAGTAAACAATTGTGAATAGTGCTGAAGCAGAAAAAGCAAGGAAGACACAGGTAAACAGGTTAGAAATGAGTCACAGAACTCACAAGTTCTGCTCAGAAGAGCGTGAGGGAGCCATCGTGAGCAGTCGGATGCCCACAAATGGAAACTTCGATGAAATGGGAAAATCAGCTTGCAAAATAACAAACCAAGAATAATTCAAGAACAAACAGAAGTGCATTCTCATGAGAATAAATTTTCTCACAAGAAAACATCGGGTTCACAAGCATTTAGAGGCAAGTTCTGTCACATTAGCTAGGGAACGGAAATAAACAATCTACATAAACTCTTCAGTAGCATAGAAGAGAAGCACTGTCCAACTCATGCTATGATGCTAGCATAAATCTGACAAGAAAAATAGCCAGGAAAGGAGTATGAAAGGCCAACCTCCTGAATATCAGTGCAAAAATCCTTTTTAAACATTAGTACATCAAATTCAGCAATACACAGATTATGAATGAGTTGGTTTGCGCAGGAATGCAAGATTAGGAAACCAATTAATTTGCCAGATTAACCCCCAAAAATCATAATTATCTCAATGTGTGGAGATTTAACATGCATCCTTCTCTCTACCATCCCCAACACTGAAGTCTGGCAAACGGGGCACTCTGGATAAAAATGCAGTGTCTTTCAGAAGGATAACTTACTGCAGTATTAATGGGTGTTCTGTCATTTATGCTTTAGAGGAATGGAAAAAGACACCAACTGTTACTGTTGTGTTCTTTCATTTTCCCTCCCACCCCAAGTGGGTTGGGGTAGGGATGGTTCTTTGTGCTCTCTTGCTTTAGTGGAATTCTTTGTTACAGACATGAGAGGAAAAAGTTGTTTACTAAAGTCTGAACTCATTGAGGTGTTTGGCCTGCGGAAGTAAGGAGAGCAATTGTCTTTGTTAGGGGGTGTAGAAGCAGCAAGAAAGAACAGAAAGAGTTCCATAATTGGGGTGGACACTGTGGTTTGTGTCCTGCAGATCAAAGGATCTCACCCCACCCCTGGCAGCATCCTGGGGAGGAGATAAAACCTGAGAAGACCGAGGCTGCCTGGCACACCCAGGGATGCCAGGCCCAGGCACCAGGGCTCCCTAGGACAGTAAAGATCCCAAAGGAGAAGGTGAGTGTAGCAGCAGGGTCCTGCCCTCCCTGGTTCTTATGTGACTCGACAGCATCCTCCAACCCAGTACTGACTCAGATTGAATTTTCCATCAGCTCCCAAGGTAGAAGAGTGTGGAGTCAGAGCTAACTTGATTTGAGGAAGTTGAGGTCACATGACATTTCTGCACACCCATTCTGTAGCTGAGCCTTCCTACTGAGTACACATGCGCAAGACGTTAGAGTGAGAATGGGAGACAGAGATGCACTGATGACACACTGGCAGAAGAAGCTACCTCTCCTCCAGGTCTGGCCACTGCTTGAAGTTGCGTTGGGGGTCACTGCCAGTTTCTCCCTTCTGAACATCCACAACCGGCCCCTGCTTGGTCCTCAGGGACTCCTTCAGGTCCCCACGCAAGTGGAGGGTGCCGCTGGCCATGCTGTCCAGAAAGCCAAGGATCTGGAGGCAGCTCTGTATCCGGGGTGGGAGTGAGCCGCTGGAGGAAAAGGCAGTGCCCAGCAAATCTGCAAATGGCCTGGCCTTTGTGTCCACCCAAGAGCGCAGCAGGTTGCCCTCTTCCTCCAGGGCTCCAAAACAGCCCAGCAGGCAGAGGTCCTCGGCCAGCTTCTCAAAGAGCCCATTCCTCCTGAAGAAGTAGCCATTGACAGGGTCCCAGTGCAGCGCTGCGGACACAGCACAGAGAGTGTACAAAACCAGCTCCAGGGTCTGTCTGGGGGATACTGCTCCCCATGCCTGCAGCGGGGGCTCCTGGAGGGAGCCTTCCAGGTCAGAGAGCAGAGACAGCAGCCCGTTGAACCCGCTGGAGACTCTGAAGGCAGCACGACCCTTGGGGGTCACCAGGATCCGGAGCAGAGACTGAAACACCAAGCAAATCAAAATGAGTGCACTCCAGGAGGTAGATTAACCCTGAGCCCACACACATTCCTGCCAGAGCGTCCCACTAGCTCTTCCCTCAACGACTTCAGGCCAACAAGTTACAGGAAGGATCACTCTGAAACATTGGGATCTCCATATTGTTCCTCTTACGGTTTAGGTTTTCCATGTGTGCCTACTACACTAATCTATACGGTTGATTTAACTGTCCTGTTTTTTGACATGAATGCATATCCTTCCAGAAAGCTTCTGTCCTGTAGCTCATACTCATCCCAGGTCGAGTGCTCACACATCCCCCTCTCATTCCCTGATCAAAACTCTCGTCATACTCTACTGCAGCTACTTGAAAACCGTCTCAGCTCTCCACCAGACTGAAGCTCCACGAGATGGAAACCATATCTGGCTTCCTTACTACTGTGGAACACAGCACACACTTAATGACAATTTGCTAAATGAGTGGGATGAACCATCTCTTATACTGTACAGGAGACACACAGTGAAATCCTCATAGAAGCAGCTTGTTATTCCTTATCTCCCTCTCTGTGCAAGCACGGCTTCATCGGTTATATTAGATGAGGGGAAACAGTAAAATGAATCAACTTAAAATGTGGTGTGAAAAGAGTGTGTCAGAAAGAGAAGAGAAACCTGCAATGGAATGAAATGCATAGGTATAACACATAGCATAGGCCAAGTGTGCAGAAAGCAATTAGGCCACTGATAGGATACATCGTGGAATCCACCACCCTCCAGATCACTGAGAGCTGTACTGGCCAGCCAAGCTTTTATTTCCTTCTAAAATCAAACCTTTCTTGAGCACTTACTTACTTGGGCCCAGTGCATGGTATATACTCTAGGTAATCAGTACATGCTATTGGAAGGAAGGAGGGAGGAAGAGAGAGAGGGAGGGGGGGCTACATTTAAGCAGTTCTCATACTGTGCTTCATCGAAATGTGAAAAACACAGGGACGATTTTAAATAAGTATTAAAAGTCTGTAATTTTTAGTACTTATTTATTGATCAGATAAATTGCATTGGACTCCATCTAAAACTCAGGCATTTGATGTGTGTTTCCTAGAGAGTGGACAACCTTGTGGGTTCCTTAGTAGACTGCGGAGAGAGGTGTGAATTGTTTTATCTTTTCAGGTATTTAATGCTCTAGTGTGACAGGGAAGGGGATTGTCTGAGAAGGCACAGTGTGGAGTCAGTTTCAGGAGGCCTGAGACAAGGTTCACAGAGAAAAAATAAAATAGACACTCCCTATCTGGGGGAGGGGTGATGCTGTGACTTAAATGCATGGCCTAAGCAACAGTCTGTAGTATGATACGTGGAAGTTAGTGAAAAAGAGAAAACTGGTAGCTCAGAAAAACATGTGGGAAGGGTCTAGATATTTAAATTCTTTTTAGTTAATAGAAACTTAGTAAAGTTACAGGTCACTGTCAAACATGAAGTCATGCACTTTGGGAGCTCCATTTTTTTTTTTTTTTTTTTTTTTTTTTTGAGACGGAGTCTTGCTCTGTCACCCAGGCTGGAGTGTAGTGGCGAGATCTTGGCTCAATGTAACCTCTGCCTCCCCAGTTCAAGTGATTCTCCTGCCTCAGCTTCCTGAGTATCCAGCTCCATCTCTTAAATGCTGGCACCCTAACCTAACAGTGGTGTTTATTTGAAACAATAGAATGTGTGTTCCAACCACTGGGATTTTATTCTCTAATGTTATATTCCACTACAGGAAACCTGAGCTGCTGGGCGAGTAGTCAGTCTCACATTCCAGGTCAGAGAACACAGGAGGAGCCTGAACTCTCTTAGTGCACACAGGCGAGGATTCTTTCAAAGATGAAGAGAAACAGCAGCCAAGGATATGCATAAAGGGCTTCCAGGGCCCCATCTATGACATTTCCAGAAATTTAAAAAACAAAACAGATTGCAGTTACTAGGAGAATCTATGAAAGACCAAAGTCCATAATTATATTCAAAATAGACAAATAACATAAAGTGAGGTAGAAAGATTCATCCTTACCAATACAGGCCAATTGATCTTTTCCCAGTTATAGAAAAAGAAAACACACTACTCACAGTGGTTAGATCTGTGATACCTCACCACTTCTCAGAGGGACACTGCAGGGAATTGAATTGTCGTTTTGCTCTTTGAAAGAAACCCAGCATCAAGGCCACCCACTAAAGGGGGCAGTCAAGTGTGAATCGTGGGAAAGACTTCAGGGAAATTGACTTCCCAGGCCACCTGAAAGATGGGGGCAATGATACTGCTTTCTCCTCCCGAGTGAGGATGTGGCCTAATTCTTTCTGAATTTGGCCGAAAACCCAGGAAAGTTGGACATTTGTAGACACACCCTCAAAGCAAAGCATGTGGATTGTTGGAGTAGGTTCCTCCAGGATGGTGGTACTCAGTGTGCATAAGTGAAAGCTCATGGCTTAAGTTGGGCAAGGCCTTTCCCTGTGTAGACAGAGTCACAGCAGCTGCCTGTCCCTGCCCCATCCTGGAGGCCCCAGGGTCAGGAAAGGCTAAGGCAGCTATGCTGCATCTGTGCCTGCCTTATGTGAGCAACTCACTTCCAAAAAAATGTTATTTTTATGGTTGAGTTGGAAACTCACTCCAACCTTGACGTGTGTGTGGTGGTTTTGGTCCCTCCTTTCTAACTGATAAACCATACCAAAGGCTGTTCACTGCGATGTGGTACGGCACGCGTCTGAACCTGACCTATGCCTGGTCACGTGACACATGCCATGAAAAGTCAATCCGTCACAAAGGAAATCTTAAGCTCTACAATGTTAAACAGACTAAATTTATGTGAGTGCTTTCAATGGCTCTAAGACCTCTAGGAGCTTTGTTTAAGGCAAATGGAATGAATAAGCGCTTCTGTTAGTCACATAACACACGACAAAACAAACATCAGGAAGGGAGAATGATTAAAAAACAAAACTGATCAGATTACAGACAATCGCCTGAGTGCTGGGTGACCACTATAAACCCCTCTTCCCCCAAGGAACCCCCTCCCAATTCAGTTGTCCAATTTGATGCTGAATATTGCTTAAAAGAACTCCATCACTCAAAGAGTGTTGAAGCAGATATTTTAAAAAGCAAAGCAACCCAATAATCACCCTCATTATGATCTGTGTCTCTCAGTGGGTTTGTCACCTATAATTCCTAGATGGTTATTTTCTTTTCCTCCTCTTGGGAGGGAGAGGAGGAAGGAATGGCTGTCCTTAATTGTTGCTTTGTTTGATTTATTAAATTCAGAGTCATTATCTAAAATGGGGGTAATCTCATTAGAACTTAGACTCCTCTATTATTTCTTGGGATGGGGTTAATTTCATATTTGCAGAGTCATAAAGTAAAGAGTCCAAAATCCAATTACAAAGGCTTAATTTCATAGCAACTAAAGAGAAACATTTCTATCATAAAGGAAAATAAATACTTCTCTACTTCGGGAAATGATTTGTCAGGAACGGGGAGTCTAGGAGGAGGGTCTCCATTACTGTCATTCAACTTTGCATGATAATGCATCACATAGGGTTTTCAGTCTGCGGAGGGGAGTAAATTTAATCAGCTGAAGTCAAAGTAATCAGGCTGGGGTTGACACATTTCAAGAAAGGTCAGCGTTAAGCACATTTTCTCATCCTAACTCAGTTACCAAGTCATCGTCTCTGAGTTAGTATTCCTCCAGCTTGAATCTATAAAATGGATGTCTGCTGTAAAGCGCTAACTACGTTAGGACTAACAGGATTTATTTCACATTCTATTATTTGTTATTCCTCATAATTTTCCATGTGTCATGGTGGAATACCGGTGAGGTAATGCAATTAAGCTCAGAGTTGAACAGCTAAATGTATATTAGCAAATCAATCTGAATTTGTGCATAACCCAATCACAGTCCCACCGGCCAAGGAGAGGAAATTCATTTGCTTACATTATTCTTTAACTCAGTTATCATTTGCCAGAATTAGGTGGTGAAGTCACATGTTCTTCAGTGTTGGTATGGAAGTGCCACTGGTGTTTGAAATAACTGCCCTAAGTTGCTTCTCCAGAGTGGCTGGCAGACAGACCACAGGGAAGGGATGCAGAGTGATGGCATGCTGTGAATGCCCTTCGGAGATGGGAAACCTTTATAAGAAGGGGCACCCTCTCATCCCACTCAGACACACTTTGTAGAAACAGTCCCTATGGGCAGAGTTGGCTCTCACCTTCTAAAGAGAGAGATCCAGTGAGAAGCAATTCACTTAGCATCTTCGTTCCAAAGTTTCAGGGGGTTCCCATGATGACTTAGAAACAAATGTAGATCTCACATCTGATTCCAGCAAACCTTCACCACTTGCTCATGTGACTCAGTGGTGGGCGAGTCTGGAAGAGGTTCCATTCCTCCCAAGTGCCCCCTAGAGCAGCAGTGTGACAGCCCTAGCCCTTGGAAAACAATGCCAGCTCCTGGGCCCTCCAACTGCCCAGCAGTGACTTGGCACCCAGGGAGAAGATAGCACATTGAGTGCAGGCTATGACTTCATTAAATAAGCTCACCAGTGTTCTTCCCTTATGTGCTCTCTTGATAACTGTGATTCTGAAATGATATTGAATCTGTAAAACACCATAACGACTTTACATTACTAATTCTAGACATTTAGTCCTATTGCCCAAGGGCTGACACTCCAATACGATGCCTCTGGGCTACAGAGTAAACAAAAGGAACTTTCTATGAGCAAAGCAGATCACTCTTTTCTACATTGGACACAAAAATACTTTTACTCTTCAAGCAAAGTAAAAGCAAAACTTTCCTCTCTGTGGATCTGTTTGGCTTTTGATATGGTACTGTCAGGAACAATTATTCACCCAATAGAAAATCACAAGCCTGACTGGTTAGGACATGCCTTCCCTGTTCCTATCCTGCCAGAACATGCCAGTCACGCTGAACATGGACATATGAAGGAAAATGTACCAAACAGCGCAGTGAAGTGGAGTGAACTCTCAGTTTTCAGTTGCTCACCTTAGATTCAAACTCAACTTCACCATTTAGCAGTTATGCAATATTAATTTAGTCAATGAAGCTCTCTGGATGTCTCTCTGCCTTTAACATTAAGAGATTGGACCACATGAATCTAAGGTAATTCCTAGCTCTGGTATTTTCTTTATTTTTGATATATCTCTCCCTTACCCTACTCTCTGCTTCACCCATCCCTCTCACTTCCCTTACCTCAAGTAATCATGGGATTCAAGTGTCTTTCAAAAGGTATTTAACTTTCCTTTTTTTGTTTCGTACAAATCACTTCCACTGATTCTATGGCCCTGCAATTAAATCACTGGCTGGGTTCTTGTCATCTGTGAAACATGATGATTATGGTCATGACGCCACTTTTGGATGGACCACGCAATGCTTTGGCCACACCAATCACTGCTGGTTTAGGCCACATAATAACTGGAACAGCTCACATCAATGTCTGACATCGAATGTGCAGAGAAATAAAGTAAGTATGATGAAACAAACACCATTCTCTAAATGTTAAAAAGGTTTTGCATAGAGATAGGCTTAAGTAAGTTAGGTTGATGATTGACCTAATTTTGGAAATCAGAGCAACTTCACTTTTTTTTTTAATTCACCAACAATCAAATATATCATGTTAATGAAACATGAGCGTGTTGGCCAGGCACGGTGGCCCACACCTATGATCCTAGCACTTTGGGAGGCTGAGGTGGGAGAACTGCTTGAGGTCAGAAGTTGAAGACCAGACTAGATAACATAACAAGACCCCCTGTGTGCAAAGAATACAAAAATTAGCCAAGCGTGGTGGCACATGTCTATAGTTCTAGCTACTTAGGAGCCTGAGGTGGGAGGATCACTCAAGCAATCCTTTTTAAAAGTCATAAACTCACAAAGACAAAAGCTATGTAAAAAAGGAACAGCAACAAAACTGTGAAAGTTGTAAGGCAGAAGAGATGGCAAGAATGATATTTGTTATATGTATTTAACTATTTTAAGATAAATTGATGAATGTTAACAATATTACAAACACATACACTTATATCTCTGTTGCCCAAACATGATAACCCTGCCTCACTTGTCCCTTTGTGCCCCGTGTTTCCACACCTCTGACTGCCTTTTGCTTCTTTTTCACAGCTCACAGGTTCTCTCCCCAGTGGGCCTTCCTCAACCAGGTAAGGCAGCATTGGTCTCTCCTACTTCTGTGTTCCCATAGCAACCTGCCCTCAGTGTCTAACCAATGCACCCACCACACTGCAATGTAACTATTGCTTACTTATTAGAAACAGGCTATGAGCTCCCAGAGGGCAAGGGTTGTATCACAATTGACTATAAGCCCCAGGTACTCTTCATCAGCCCTGGTAATGGGTTAGATGCTCAATAAATGCTCATCAGATCAACAAGGCAGCTACTTGGCCATTGCTGATTTGAGCTGCACTTCCATAGTTTACAGTGTTGTGGGAAGTAGCTGCCTAGCCAGGGAAAACATTTCCTAGCATCCCTTGCATCCAGGTGAGTCCTGCCCAAAGTTCTTCCTAAAGAAAATTGGACAGAAAATAACCCGTGCCAGTTCTAGGCCTGAATGAAAATGCCTTATGCAGTTCCCCATGGTCTCTCTTCCCTTGTCTGCTGGCCAAGTTAGATGCCCAGGTGATGGTAGTTCCTTAATGACAGTCACCAATCATTGACTGGACTGTATGTTGCAAAGAAATTTCAAATGTACCAGGCTACTGAGGATATGGGATTTATTTGTTACAGCACCTGACGCTACCTAATACAGGGTACTGCCTGCCACATACAGTGGCTAACTGAATTACATGAATACAAATGCCTGAGCAAATGTGGATCGCTTGGTGCATATCCACAGGGAAGCCAATCTCAAAGGAGGACTTGAAATCACCTTCAGGAGATCCAGTTTCAGCTGCAGCTCCCCTTGAGTGGATGAGCATAGAGCACCCACAATGATGCTCATGTACTCCTCGGCGTTGATGGCTGAGAGCTGCTCCAAGATGCTGAGCGAGGCCTCCCGGTAGCACTCGTCATCCAGGAAGATCTTGATGAAGGGCACCATGCCGTGGTCCTTCAGGACAACTAAGGATCAGACAGACAGAATGGGGCTAGGGCAAGGGGGAAGCTTGCCACTTCAGTTTCAATCAAAAGAAAAGCTTTGTCTTATAATTTTCAAACTTCATTTTGCTATTTTTTGTTTCTCTTTTGCTCACTGGTAGATTTTTTGGTAACCCATACCCACTGTTAAAGTGAGAAGCAGAAAAAAGAAACTGTGGATCTGATGATTTTTTTAAAAAACTGCTTTCTTCTCCAATGAGAATCTTATTTTTGAAAAAAAAAATGACTAACATCTCCCCATAGGAGATACATTCAAGAAAGGAGAAATAAGTTTAAGAGATCTATTGTACAACATGGTGACTAAAGTTAATAATAGTGTCATGAATTCCTGGGGTAAAAAAAGAAAAAAAAATAGAAACCTAAGTAATAAAAGCTTTAACTAGATCTACCTCTCCCTTGATTTCCCCATAATTTCTTCCCCAGAGCCAATGACAATTTTCTGTCTTCTCTCTGACAAAATTCATATAGAAAGCAAACCACAATTTAAGCTAAGAATATATTTAATTTCTAGATAGTTCCTTGGGGAGAAAATTAAAGAAACCTGACAGGTGATATATTTTTGTTTAAAAGTAATTCCAAGCATTTTTTCCCCAGGATTGATATTGGAGTAATCCATGTGGAATAAAAACTAGGAGGCAACTGGATCCTTCAAATGGCTTGATGGAGATTTGAGCAGACAGGATTTTTCCAATTATGGGCTAGGTACCTCTGACATGGAAATCACCTTGAAAGCATGTTTAAAAGTAGATTCCTGGCCAGGCGTGGTGGCTCACGCCTGTAATCCTAGCACATTGGGAGACTGAGGCAGGCAGATCGCCTGAGCTCAGGAGTTTGAGACCAGCCTGGTCAACATGGTAAAGCCCCGTCTCTACTAAAATACCAAAAAAAAAAAAAAAAAAAATTAGCCGTGCATGGCGGCGTGCGCCTGTAGTCCCAGCTACTCGGGAGGTTGAGGCAGGTAAATTGCCTGAACCCTGAGGGTGGAGGGTACAGTGAGCCAAGATCATGCCACTGCACTCCAGCCTGGTGACAGAGTGAGACTCTGCCTCAAAAAAAAAAAAAAAGTAGATTCCTGAGCTCCACCTTGACTGACCATTAATTAAAGGTCTGGCTGTGAGCCTAGGAATATGCATTTAGCCAGCACCTCCGGGGAACCTTTTGCAGACTAAATGTTAAAGACTCTCTCTCTGCCATAATGAAATAATTTTTTACATTAGGTATAGTTACTCTGTGAAGGCCTCAGATAAAGATGCCTAAATCACCAAACCCACTGATATGATGTTGGTGTGTCTATGTCATTATATATATATATATATATATGCACATATTATTTTTAAAACCCAGAAGCCACATGATCTTAGGACGCTAAAAGAAAATTTGAATGGATTACATTGCTAAGTGCATCATGTCTGATGAGAGCACAACAAATTGCATTTCTTTAAAATGGCTAGATTTCTTTGCCCGTATGTTACTCTTTGGATCTAAAAAAAAATTAAAAAGCATCTACAGTCAGTGCAGCAGGACACTAATAAATTTTTCTCATAAATTTAGAAAATGCTAGATTGAGCATAGTCTTTTTGTCACCAACTTTATTTAGCAACCTTAGAAGTGAAAAGTGTCAACAGAGGTATAGTATCTACGAATTTACTGATGATCACTGAACATCGGCCAAGAGAGGATCATTAGCCACAGCTAACGCTGTGTATTGGTTACTCCTTGAGTATAACCTGTGAACACTGCCATAAATAACCAGGAAAGAGTTCATGTTTTACCAAGCAGTGATGAGGCAAACTTGGCACCATCCTTACCTGCATTCCTCACCGAGCCTTTCAGAAGTGTGACTACAATCCTCAGCATCACACAGGTGAGTTCTCTTTCTGGATCCTGAACACCAGGAGTGGACACTTTGTTTCCTGCCATATTGAAGAAGAAATAACAAAATAAATTAAGTACATGTGGTATGACCGCAAATCTCTGACTCCAGCTTTCTATCCTCTTAAGGAGATGTGAATATAATGCTTTCATCATAAGGGAGTGTGTATCCCAATTAGTAAGATAGAAGGCTGTTACCCCTACAGCAGGGGTTCTCCATTTTGAGCACATCAGCATTCCCTGCAGGGCTTATTTTGTTAAAACCCGGAGCCCCATGCTGGGTCCCATCCCCAGAATTTCTGAGGTAGTAGTTCTTGGATGGGGTTCTATAATTTGCATTTCTGAGAAGTTCCCAAGCAATGCTGATGGGGCTGGTCCAGGGACTGCTCTTTGAGAAGCATTGCCCCAGATGATACACAGAGCCCTGCCTTCTTAATTTTCCTTTGGCCACTTTTACAGTTTGCCATGCATCCTTGGGAGGGATGACTGCCTGCTCATTCCTGAGTCATGGGGAAGCTCAAGAGAACCTGGAGTAAATAGGTGATCCCAGTAGACCCATGAGGGCAAAATCAGATCTCTTTATTCACCTTGAATCCCCATGCCAGCAAAGTGCCTGACACAAATTGGAAGCTCAATACTTATTTGGGGAATGAATGAATGAATGAATGAATGAAAATAGAGTTTATAAACCAGGAGACAGAGTATCTAAGAAACAACAAGACACATTTAACAATAGAAAGTATGAAGTAAGACTAGATGCATGAGCTCACAAAAAAGTTTAATTTCTCCTAGGAGTGGTCATGGGTCTGGAATTGCATTTAAAAGCAAATTCAATGTTAGGCTGCTGAAAAGAAATACCAGCTAAGATAAGACAGAACCACCAAACAAAGAGACGGTGCAAAGACTTCTCATTTAAACACCAAGGAAAGCGGATGAAGCAATACATTAATTTCATTCAAGATGGGATTTAAGGACAGAAGTTACTAAGCAGTAGAAAGCAACTCATAAAATATTGTCCAGGGCTTGGCCCAGAGGCCCAGACACAAAAACCATCCCTTGGGCTCATCCTTCGCAGTCCTGATCCTATTTGCAAACACTCCCAGGGAGGAGCTGGGTCCATCCTGGCCTCCATAAGACGCCTGAGCTCCTCCCTGGGTGTCTGTCTCAGTCTATGGCAGTAGCACTGGAACTATAGGGACAAGGCGACTGATGTTTCTTGAGCCCCTGTTATGTACCAGGCACAGCAGTGGGTCCTCTTCAGAGATTCCCTCGTTAAAATCTCACAACATTCCAATGATGTCAACATCATTACCCTGTTTTACCGAGGAAGACACGGCTCGTACGGGTTAAGTCACTTTCTCAAGATCACTCAGTTTGTCAGTAGCATGGCCAGGATTCCAGCCCTTAGCTCCTTTCCCTCAGAGAGGCCCAGGAAACAGACAGACTGGTGACCTTGGCTTAAGTCTGAAGCAGAATTACAGAAGCAGCCAAAGGCTAGAGAGCTCCCTGACCCTTCCAGCCAGTGCAGTGGGAGAAGGAGAATGAAAGGAGGGAAGGTGGGCAGAGTAAGCATCCAGATTCTTGTGTCCTGGTGTCCCTCTTCCAGGCTGATTTCCCAGAGCAGCAGGTGTAGACAGACTGAGGGAAAGACCAGAGGAGCTGGGGAAGGAGTTTCCACACTTTGCTTCCTATCAGAAAGTCAACGGAGATGGTAGTTAAAGACCACCACATAGAGTGACTCCAGCAGGATATGTGCTGGGGAGCATGGTGAGGCAGTGCAAGAGCCCAACCCCTGAGCCACCAAGCACCCTCATGAGACCCTAAAGCCTCAGGGGACAGCAGAGGCTATTGGGATTGAGACTCCAGGGTGCAGGGGCCAAGTAGGGGCAAGGGAATGTTGCCAAGGAGCCACAGGTATGCAGCCCAGCAGGGCACCAAGACTTGGAGGGGCGTGCTGGGCCCGCAAGACCCCAAGGAGCTCTCTCCCAGTGGGAGACCACTGAGCCAACAGTGCAAAGTGAACAGAGTGAGCTAGGAAGCCATATCCCAGCAGACCCCAGGAGGGCCCCCAAACCTCAGGCCTCTCTGAGCTCCCATTCCTGAGGAGCTGTCAGACCCCTGCAGTCTCCCTGTCTATACACCCACACAATGTCTAGGACAAGAGATATCTAAAACCTGGGAATTCACAAGGCCTGAGTTAGCCCCAGGTTCACCCATCCCTTTCACTTCTTCATTGGGAAGACTGGGTGGCTGCCTGTCTTTTGTGAAACTGTGTGTCCCAAGCATACCTTCCCAGTGACATGGGCATGCTCACTTTCTGTTGCATTTGATGGGCAGCCAGATTGGCCCAAAGGTCAGGCCTGGCTGACACTGACCCCTGCCCATCCCTCCCAATGCACCCAGTGGCACCTGACTTCCTCATGATCTTGGCTTGCTTCCGAAGCTGTGCCAGTAGCAGGCCCAGGAGCCCTGAGTCCCGGAAGATGTCGGTGAAGAGGGGGTCCCCACCAGCGATGCTGAGGATGCTCTGCAGGGCCATGAGGGTGCAGGATGGCCCAGGGCTCTCCTTGATCAGATGCTGTACCTTTCGCAGGATCTCATGAGGCACGTAGTGCAGCTCGAACACCAGGGCCTCTAGAAGCTGGAAGAAGTGTTCCTGCACTGGGGCCGGCTTCAGGGGCATGATCTCTACAAACTGCGAGATGGGCTGCAGGGTCCACTCCAGCAGGAAGAAGTTTCGAGCATTCCAGGCCCACATGGTCCTGATGACTGACAAGACTTGTATGCAGAGGACAGAGTCACTGGCTTTGTGGAAAACATTCTGTAGGACCTGGAAGGCCTGAAGATTCTTAACAGTCACCCCTGAGGAGGAAAACAAGAATGATCTTACAAGTCATTTCTCCTGCCTGTGTCTACAAATAGATGTTTTCATTACTAAGAGGGCATGCCATTTGAAGTTTCTGTGTTCTAACTCCTATGGGCACATGTCCATCAGAAGTCCAGAAAAGCCAGCCACCTGGGGTATGAAGAAGGCTAGTGCAGCATGGTCCAAGATGCACTCAAACTGTGGCCACTCTGAACTGACATGTGCCATGAACATCAAATACACATTAGATTTCAAAAAGATAATACAAAGGAAATGATGCAAAATATCTTGTTGACAATTATTTGTATTGGCCATACATTGAGATGGTAATATTTGGGATATATTGAGTTAAATAAAATATATTATCAAAAATAATTTAACTTGTTTCTTCTTATTTAAAGTTAAAATTTACATTTAAAATGATATAACGTGCATTGCATTGTATTTCCATTGGAGAGCATTGGGCTAGGAGGATTGGTTTCAGCGGATTAAAATCAAATGATGTTGGAGATTACTAGCAAAATCAGTTTTGTTTCTAGACAAGCTGATAAATAATTACACTTTCCTGACCCACCCCTACCTTTTCCTCCAGCTTGAAGGTTAAGCCTCATTCTCTCTCCCCCAGGAGACACTTTGTCAGAAAGCTCCCTGCCTCCAGCCTTCTCTGCCTCAGATAACAGAGATGTTTGTGAAACTCCTGTCTGATTCAGGCACTCCCCTAAACCATGTCTGTGCCCCATGTGTTACTGCATCCCATCCAATGGCCCTTCTTAACCTGAACTCTGCAGCACTGCAGCCTCCCTGCCTCTATTCTGCAGAAGCTCTCACTTCCCAGACTCACCCAGCCTTCCAGGCCACCATTTATTCCCCAGACTGTCATTTCTGCCTTTAAACTTTCTCCCTTCATCTCAACCTAGACAACCCACACTTAGCCTTAAAAACTCCCTCCGGCAGGCCCTCTGTTCGAGGTTTCCTGACTGAGCTGGGTCATGGCTGTGCCTGATGCATTTCTTAGCCGATTCTCCAGCAGACTAGGGTTCAAGGACATGTGACAGTCTCTACAGAGGAATTTTAGGGAGCAGACAACTGGCCTGTTCACACTGGCACCCAGCATGGGGCAGAGTGCCTGCCACACAGAAAGTATCCATGCCTGCTGATTGAGTTCATCAATCAATCAATGTCTCAAAGTACTGAGAAGTCACTGACTCTGAACCTGGATGGCTGTTTTAGGGCCATCAGTCCCCATTATATAAGCAAATGTTGCAGAGTAAATCACCCCAGGGGTGAGGGAGAGAAGTAGAGGCTGCCTCCGTTATTTGAGAGAGTCTTTGCCTTTATTAAGCAATGTTTCCACTAAGTCCCATGGGAGATATTCATAACCTCCCCAAAGGTTGTGACAGAATCAGAGCCTACTGCACCATTGAAAGGTACACAAAGAATCAGGAGAAGACCCTCTGTAGCCTTCTCAGGGCTCAGCACTGACTCTTCCGGTCACCCAGACACAGGAAAGACTCACCAGATGCCTCATGATGGAACTTGAAGCCTTCAAGCTGAGGGTAAGTGATGCTGTCAAACACCTTCAGCTCTGACCTCCCACAGGTTGTCAGCCACACCACCAGCCCAAGGAGCTCCTCCAGATGCGGGTCCACTTCGCTCTGGGTCAGCCCATCATACCTGGGGGAACAGATGAGGCCAGCTCCCTGTACTTCCTAGATGGAGCAGCCACATGCGTGCATGGTGCTCTCAAGGAGACAGAGCCAATGGGGATCTGCAAGCTGGGGAAGACCCCACAGGTCTGCACCTGAGGCAATTCAGAGGCAAGGGAGCGCCCTGGATAAACACCACTCTGCAGATGTCAGTCTTAGATCCAAAGAAGTGCATTTGTAACCTGTGAAAAGCTATGCCATCTGCTCACAGGAAGTCACTTTCCATGACTGAACCTCCAAAAGACATGTGGTTAGGGCATCAGCAGATCAGGGCACCTCCCAAAGGAGAGATGTAATATAATAGTTCAACATTGCAACAAAATGGTGTGGGAAATAGTCGGACTTCCTTGTGCTTATTTAAAGGTTGAGTGTGGCTTTTGTATTTTAATTATGGGCAGGTAGGCTGTCCTGCTCCTCTTGTGGAGAAGGGCATCTCAAGTCTTATTCCAGCCCTGCCATTTCCAGAGGAAAAGTTCTTGCAGCGTGACTTCAGTTAAGGCAAAAAGGAAAGCCAATGAGCCCACGTGGGACCTTCTTGGCACTCCCTGGAATAGGTTTCTGTCCCCTCTCCTGCCTTCCACAAGAATTCTGGGGAAAACTCAACACCCAATGAACCAAAAATTTGTTCAGGAAATGCTATGACACAGACCTCCGTGGGGATCATAGTCAGCTGGTCACAGCCCAGACCAATGCAAAATGTGATGTGCCCAGAGGGGCATTTACACTTAGCGTCCCTTTGGAGGAAGGCACTAGGGTATTGCCATTTAATCACATCCTTCTGGACACTTGGTGGACCAAAGGACTTTGGCCCCCTTGTCCAAGTCACCGCATGTAGGCTCAAAGCCTGGCTCTGTAGTGAAGTGTGTGAAGTGCGGTAGTAGATATACCCCTCAGAGGAGGAGGGTGTCTCATTCTCGCCCAGCAAAGCCCAAGGGAAAGTATGTGGCCTTGCCCTATAGCAGCTTCCCCAAGATCAGCAGAGGAGCTTGGGCCATCAAGGCATTTCTTTGATTTCCATCCCTTGCTGTCTGTAATCCCTGGGCCCCACTCGAAGATGATACAGGAAGGCAGAGTGGAAGGCAAGGAGCCAGCCCAGGCCCTGCTGAACGGTGTCTGAGCTTGGGTTTCCCATGTTTCAAGGATTTGAGAAAGAGGTAGTTCACTTGGGAGTTGATCCCAGAAAACACCAGTAGGGGAGAGGCCACGTGAGACAGGGAAGGGAAGGAAACCAGTCCAAGAGCATTAGCAAGCAAGCGCCTCATGGGGCCACTGGAGCTAATCCTTCTGGGGAGCTCTGGAGGCCATGCAGAGCAAGCCCACCCAAGGGCAGCTGTGCTGGATGTGCACCCATTGGCACCTTCAGTCATTGGTGGGCAGCTGCTCCTGAAGGTGGTTCATTTCCAGACCTTTCCAGCCCTCCAAGCACACAGGCAGGGCAGCTTACAGCAGTGCCAGAAGCCCTCCAACAGACAGGGCTTCTGTTTGGGTTCTGACCGGGGAAAATCAGGCCAGCAGGCATGCAGGTGACAGGTGCCTACAAGTACACTTTGTAAAACTACTGATTCTCTAAGGAAGTGGTCCCCATGCCTGTCTGCACAATGAATCACTTTTGCAAATAAGAGGTCTCTCTGGCCATGTTCTATGGAGCTATATCTATTTTTCTGCAAAGCACCCCAATGATTCTGAGGACTAAGGCTTTGGTGGTCCTGTGCTCTCCCCGTACCAAACACAGCCACTTACCGAAGTAACACTTTGAGCAGCAGAGGATAGCCCTCTGAATTCTCAAACTCCAGGAACAGAGCCGAGGAGACGGGGTAGGAGTCCTTCACGAATCCCAAGATCAGGCTTACAGCCTCGCTCACTTCAGGGGCAGGGAGAGTGTCCGTGAGCCTGGAGAGGTTCTGGAGGGAGAGCCTGACACAGTCTGTGGCTGCAGGAGGGAAGCACAGGAGAGACCTGCTGAGCTTGGAAGCAAGAGCTTTCCTGCCATGGTCCACCTACCTCCCCTACTCCAAACAACATGTCAAGACATGAATGGGAATTAATCCAAAACATGTTCTGCTGGCTCTTGGATCAGGAAGACCACCCCAGAGAAAGTGCCATCCTGACAGCTGCACTCTGCAAGCCCAGCAGGTGACACAGGAGAGGAAGGCAGCCCCTCAGCCCTCTGTCCCTAATTCTCAGCAAGAAGGGGGAGTCCAGGTCCATTAGGTAGTGAGATGTAAAATGCAAGACCTGAGCTCATCTCAGACCTTAAGGAGGCAATGCTGGAGCTGAGCAGAAATTACCTTGATGAAAAATGCAGGGGAGGATGTATGAACATGTGAGGAGGCAGAGGGTAAAAAGATGGGGTGCTTTGGATACTGAAGAAGCCAGGGGATTGGAACACTGAAGTGTGGCCCACAGAGAGGAAGGAGGGTGTGGCCCATTCCTAGGGGACAGGCCATGGGGCTTACTGGCTACCCCACCAGAGTGGTGCGGAGCCAGGGGAAGATTTGAGTCTGAAGAGAGAGGTCCTCAGATTTGCATTTGGATGGGTCACTGTTTTTAGAAATCTCTCATCAAGAGAAGCCTCTTCTGAGTGCTGGGGAAGCCAATCCAGTGGATCAGAGAAAGTACCTATGAGAGCTTGAGATAATGCAAGCTCAGCCTCTCAGCTGCAAGGACTCAGAAGAGCCGCAAAGAATCACAACAATCCAATAAGATCAGCAGCATTATTATCCCCACTTTACGGATGAGAGAACTGAGGCACCCCAATGGTTAAGTGCCTGAGATCACTCAGCTACGAGGACAGAGCTGGAGTCCAGTCCTGGCTGTCTGGCTCCAGAGTCTTTGGCCTTAACCCCTACACATAGTTCCCAGTGTATAAATGAGGGTGCCGGAATCAGGCATCTTTAAGTTTGAAAGTGCATTCTCTTCCTAACTAGGTGAATAGCCTTGAAAAATTCTTCTACTAGTCTTAATGTTTATTTTCCCCATTCTAAAATGGCATTAATAGCTATCTCAAAGAAACAAGCAAGATAATGTACAAAGGGGCCCAGCACAGTGTCTGATTGGTAGTGTGTGCATAGTGAGATCCTCTTTCCCTGCTTTCTCCAATGGAGCAGCAAAATGAACAAGAAAAGCACTTACATGAAGGGAGCCAAGCCATGTAGAATTATCTACCGGACATGGCTGCTCATTCATCTCTTCTTTGGTCCCAAAATTCTATAAGAGGCTGCAAGAGCATCCCAAGTCTCATTGTAGAAAGTGGGCCCTCAGCCTTTGCTCTGAGTTCAAGGGAAGCCCTTGCATGGCCCACAGCCCACATCTAATTTCCCGGGCCATACCCTGCAGGTACTGGATGATGCTGAGGTTCTGGGCCTTGGAGATTGCCCTTAGCACGCAGAAGGTGGGTTCCTTCCAGAAGCAGCAGCTGTGCTCCCGAAGGCAGGTCGTGGCAATCAGCAGAGACTGCAGCTCACTTCCTGAGAGGAGTCCCTCCAGGCCCTGAGAGTCACTGCAAATATTGAGCAACATCTGAAAAATAAGAAGATAAACAGTCAAGGAGACCTGGTTAGGAAGTCTCCTTCCTCAGATGGATTTGTTCCCTACTTCTCTGGAGCACTGATGAGCATGTCTCTGTGAGAAGGACAGGATTGAATGGGGTCACCCTCTGTCCCAGACCAGCAGGGTCAACAGAGCCCCCTAGGAAAGGGTGGCAGGGCCTGGGGCTCAATTCTGACCGCATTAACCCTATACAAGTAATTGTTATCCCTTCCAAATCAGAATAATAAAGAAGTAATTGAATTTGTGTCTTTTTAATGGGAATACCAGAAAATGTCACCCACAATTAAGGTATAGAATTAACAGAACCTTGTGCTATTTAAAAAGGGAAGTGTTTCAGAATTCCTTGTTGACACTCAGACTCTACTTCTCCATGAGACCACAAGAGTCAGCATAAAGCCTCCTAACTGGGTTCCTTGTTCCCGCCAATCCCCTTTCCTGATGGCTAACAGAGGGACTTGCAAAACCTCCCTCTCCACTTGGGATAAAATCCCACCACCGTAGCATGGCCCATAGCATCCTGCATGGACTAGCACTGCCTTCTCACTCACTTTATCCACTGCAGCTCCCCCCTGGGCTCTTGGGGGTCCAACAGGACCTGCTGCCAGTGTGACAAATATCACAAGCTACTTCCATGGGAAGACATTTTCCCCTTCTAGTCTGATACAGAGAGAAGCTGGGCTTCATGGACCACAGCTGTAGGTCCCATTTCCCTGCCTCCCTTGCAGGTAGCTGTGGCCATGTGACCAAGGTCTCACCTGTCCCTGGGCTTGCATTGCCATTTCTCTGCTCCTCTCCACTTCCTCCACCCCACCCGGCCACACTACCTCCTCAGACCCTGACAACCCTCAGCTCTCTGGTTAAATGCCATGCCCTCAGAATAGACTCCACTGATTTCTCTCATACAAATAAAAGCCTGTCACCATCATTGCCCAGTATACCTTTGGCTTTACCTACATAGCACTTAAAAAATTGCTAACTACTGCACTCCAGCCTGGGCAACAGAGAAAAGCCCCATCTCTATTTTTTTAATTGCTAACAACACACTTATTCCTGGATTGTTTTCCCCTTGTTTGACTTCTTCATCCTTCTGTCACCTCTCAAAGTGAAGCCCTATGCTTGCTGCAGCAACCATCTGTCTGCCATAGAGCTGCGCACAGTAGGGGCTCTGTATATTTTTGTGAAATGAAGTAACAGAAACCCTTGAGCAATGCAGGAATGGTCTATTCCCTGTGGCACACATTCTGTCCACATACCCAGAAGACCTCGAAGACAGACCCTGCACTACTTCCCTTCAGGGCACCTAAAAGCCACACAGTAAACATTTGTGAAAGTGCCTGGTGCAGCGTCCTGGCCTCCAATTAGAATATGATTTACATACAAGCAGATGACACCTACATTTCCACAAATGCAGCTCAGAGGGTAACCCACTGTTAATGGAACCTGCCAGAACTCATGCACTACCCTCTGGAAATGAGGAATGGGCTTGGGAATTCGTCTAATGTGGATGCCAATGTGGACATGTGTGTACCATGGACAGCTGCATTTGGGAATTCACTGAACAGTCACAGGCACCTGCTCTGTGTGAGACACTGCAGACACTGGACACACAGCGACGGGCCCCACAGTCCTCTGTATCCTCCCGGGCCACACGATCCTCCATACCGTCCCCTGCAAGCTCAGGGAGCAGGAAGGGTTATCTAGAGAGCTCAGAGTCTCAGAAGGTGAGAAAGCAGAAACTGCCCGGAAGTGGGCAGGGGAAGGAGGTGAGAAGTTAGTCAGTCAAAGAGAAGAGGAAAGATGGGGAATGACAGAAGGAAATTGCATTTGATGCTTAGAGGCCTGAGATGTCTTCTGAGAGGAAGGAAGAGGCACCGAGAACATGTAAACTCAAGTTTACTCAAGGGTGCCAATCCCAGCCCCACCCAAGACTTCTATGACCCCAGACCCCATGCTCACTCACCATGCCTCAGTTTGTATGGACCCAGGATGACAACACTATTTACATCCTGTGATGGCAGACAGCAATCCTGGAGGTGACCCATGTGAGGCCATGGCACAGGGGTGGGTACAAAGCTTATATTTAGAAAATTTTGGCTACTATTTTGCTAGTGGGGCAGACTGTGCAGTGGTGGGGAGGGGAGGGGGAGGTTAGACCCTCTGGGAGAACAGAGGAGTTCAGGAACCAGGGCTGAGAAAGACAAAAGCATCTACGGGAAGCATTGGAGAGTCTGTCCCCGAAGTGAGGTTTTGACCCAGGGAATTGGAGGCCCTCCTTGAACTCACCTGCACGAACATCTTTTGAACTTGAAGATCACTCTCAAGAAGCTCATCTTTGTCCAGAGGAAAGACAAAGAAGAGGTAAAGGCACTGTAGGAGCAGGGCTGGAAGCCCAGACTCAGCAACCCTGCCCAGCGTCTCCTGCAAGAGAAGAGCACACGTGACCCCAGGCAGCAAGGCAGCAGAAGCAGGTCAGCCCAGACCCAGGATCAGGCCCCTGCAGCCATTTCAGTGAGGCCATGGGACAGTCCCTCTGGGCTCCAGTCCTCAAGTGTGAAATGCTGACAACCAGAGGATGCACCTAGGGTGGCTGTGAAGATTAAGTTTATATAAAGTGCTTACTATGTGCTCTATAGCTCCTTTATAAGATTCATAGATGGAAGGAAGGAAGGGAGGGAGAGAGGGAGGGAGAGAGGGAGGGAGGGAGGGTGGAAAGGAGGGAAAAGGGGAGGGACTGTAGAAATTAGAACATAAGGGCTTCCTAACAAATCATACTGTGTGACTGTGGTCCAGGGCCTCATGATTAGGAAGGGAAAGCAGTCCAGAGGTGAGGCTGATAATATGTGTGTGAGCAACAATGGTGAGGACCTGATCAGGCCCCTCCCCAACCTCTCATCTAGATCCCAGACAGATCTCGTCAAGGTCCAAAGAGTGCAATAGGTGATGACTGACAATCAGACAGCCAGCAACTCAACTAAACAGCTCAGGGCTGCCAGACAGAGGCCAAGAGGACAGGAACTCTGCAGAGATGGAGACCAGCCTGCCAGGAGCTTCCTGGGGTCTTTCTTCCTGGGGCTTTGCCTGCAGCTCCACCAGGATTACTGCACCTGCACCCTCTGTGTGTGCGTGTGTGCGCACGCACGTGTGTGTGTGTGCATGATGCATGTGTGCATGTGTGTGTGCACGTGTGTGTGTGCATGCACACATGTGAACACCTTTGGGGTCAACCTATGGAATGCTGTCCATGCAACTTCCCATTCCACTGGTTAACCTGACAGACATGTTGGGGAAGTCAGAGAAAGAGAAGGACGAATGTACAGTCTGGGCCAGGATCAGGACTAGATGCAGGCTGCTGGTCCTAGCCTTGGCCAGAAAGGTTTACAGTGCAATGTACTGTCTTCTATGTATTTGACTCCTTGTTAACCTTGACCTCCTCAGGGCAGCTCTCCCTGTCCTTCCCCCACCTCACCCCCGATGCACCATGCACAGGCAGTGAAAAACAAGCCCTTAGGTTAAAGTGTCACCACTTAGACTGCAGAGAGTCCTTCCCCCAGGGGCACATGTGATGCGCCCTCGTGCTGTGCTTCAGGTCGCTGTGCCTGACAGTGATGCAGGCAGTTCACCTGAAGAAGTGTCAGGAGGTCCTCCCTTCAGTTAACTTCCCAGGTCATGTACCACCCCCTGGCCCCAGACAAGGGCTGCGTGATGTGCTCCTATCACCCTTCCAAGCACGGCTGCAAATGCCCATCTCATGTCTGGGTTCATCTAGTGAAGCAGCTTTGGAACTGGCTAGCAGGTAGAAGCTGGAAGAATTTGGAGAAGTTACACTGAGGGCAGCAGCCACCCAGGTTCCCTGCTGTGTTCCTGGCATGCGGTGGGTATGGGTGGGAAGGGAAGAAAGAGGAGAGCCCTCATCTCTGGGCGAGGGCGAGACAGGTACCTACAGGGAATGTCGTTCAGGCTGACTCTAACAGGAAGAAATAAAGAACAGTGGCTCAGAGCATGGGTTCTAGAATCAGATAGACTGCAGGTGCACAGCGTAGGTAAGCCTGCGTTCTCATCACTCACTGGCATCACCAAGATCTGACTCATAGGGTCCTTGGGAGGATTAACTGACGATGTCTGGGACACACCCAGCCTTGCCCCACAGGTAGGAAGTAGTCAATAAACATCAGCCGTTATCAATCCTACACTAACCCCAGAAGAGAGGCATTATTATCCCCAATCCTAAAATTAGAAATGCAACCAAGGGGCAGAAAGGTAAAGCAATCTGGCCACAGTTACACACAGCTTGTCAACTGGGAAGGTGGGAATTTCAGACTCTGAAGTCCATGTTCTACACCAGAAGGGGAGGAGGGAGGAGAAATAATAAACCTGTTTTATGAAACGAATGACCCTCTTGGGATATGCCACCACCCTGTGCTGGACCTCCCTCTGCACCTAGATGAGCAGTGCCCAGGGCAGAGGCTGATGGTCTGAAACTTACCGAGTCTGTCCCCGTGAGCACGTACACTGACTTCAGGAGCAAGTAGCCATCCTGATCCACGTCCCCCTTCCACCACAGCAACTGTCCAGCTGCCAACCGAGCTTGCTCTGGAAGAAAGTGTCACCAGCAGGGCATACAGCGACCTGCCCACTCAGCTTCCCCTCCATCCAGGGCCCCCTCTTCCCAGGAGATGTGCCTGAGCATCTGTAGAGGACTTTGGCATCTTGCCTACACATCCCCAAGGCCACCTGCATCTCTACCAAACGCTCCACACCCTGCCAGACTAATCTCCTTGGAAGACAGCGTTTTTTGTGCCACCGTCCCCGTTTAGCAACCATCAGTGGTTCCTGATTGCCAATGAGTAAGAACAAGCTAATCGGCTATCAGACTCCCCACAATCCAGAATCTCCCCCTACTTCCTGGATCACACAGTCTCTTATGCTGCAAGAATTCCTGAAATCTACACCATGCTGAGCAATTTCTTCCCCTCAGAATTTCCTCCTGACCCTCGGCCCTCAGCCACTGTGAAATTCTGCCCTGCCTCCAGGGACCAGCGCACATGAGGGGAAGAATGCAAGTCAGGAGGCCCCACAAGAGATGCACTTTGGCCTCTGTGTCTTTTCAGGACCAAGAGCTCCACTGAACACACAGGTGCATCTTCAATCCTAGCACTTCCTCCCAGAGACCGTGGTCCCGTGTGTTCTGTGTGTGTGTCTGTGTTGCAGTGTGTCTGTGTGTGTGTGCCTATGTGTATATCTGTGTGTAGTGTGTTCTGGGTGTGTCTGCATGTGTAGAGTGTGTGTCTGTGTGTAGTTTCTGTGAGTAGTCTCTGTATGTGTCTGTGTGTAGTGTGTATGTCTGTGTGTGTAGTGTATGTGTATGTGTCTCTGTATCTCTGTGTGTCTATGTGTATCTGTGTATAATGTCTGTGTGTAGTGTCTGTGTGTGTATAGCATCTGTGTGTAGTGTGTCTATGTGTGTCCGTGTATAATGTATTATGTGCAGTGTGTGTGTTTGTCTATGTCTGTGTCCCAGGAACAGCAGGGCTCCCCGACCCCTCTTCCCTCCTCCTGCATTTCCCTTGGTCCCTAAGGCACTCAGTGGCAGAGTGGGGCCTACTTCTCTTTGGCAGGCAACACTGTAGCTCCACGCGAAAGCAGAGGGGGGCCTGAGAGGCCTGGGAGGGCATGCAGGGCTGCACTGCTCTCTGTAGAGGGTCTGCCAGCACCTCCATGCTCTTACCCGCAGGCTTCCCCACAAGGGCCTTCTGGAGTTGCTGGGCAAGCTGGTCAGACACGTCTTCAGCCAGCCTTTGGAGACTGGGAAAGCAGATGATCCCCACGGAGTGTTCCCAGGCCTGAAGCAACAGATGGGACTTGGTCAGAGATAGCAATGCCACAAGCAGGGCATGAGCACTGCCTGCCATGCCACCCTTCACCAGCCCAAGCTGACAGCTCGACTTCCTTTCCCAGGTGCATGCAAAAGGCCACCACGTCACCCACCCTCACAGCCTCAACCATCATCCCTATACCAACGCCTCCAGATTCTCTAACTGCTCAGACATCCACCTGAACACGAGCCCCTAAGATGTCAAACACACAGAGCCCAGTCCACCGCCTTCCCCACAGCCTGCTGCATCTGGCGTCGGTGGATGGCCCTGCCAGGTGCCTGCTGCCCCCATAGGAGCACCAGGAGTGCCTCTCCAGGTTTCTCCCTTCCTCAGCCCTCACCCAGCCCCTCCTGTTTCTCCTCATTTACCATTTCAAATCCTGTACAGATATCCCAGTTTTAGTCATTTGATTATTTCCTTTAGATAAATTCCAAAAAGTGGGATTGCAAGTGAAAGAGTGTGCTTTTATTTTCTAGCACTTTAGTACATATTACTAACTCAGCTTCCAGACAAAGTTGAGCAGATTAGACTCTCCAGGCCTCCCGTGAGCAGACAGGTTTCTCTACACCCTCGGCAACACTGAGCATCGCTGTGCTCTCTCATCCTTAATGAAAAACTTCAGAAGCGAAAAAATATCTCATCTCAATGGCAGCCTTTTGATTCCTAGGGTGGATAACCTCTTTTCATGTTTCTTGATTGCCTGTTTCTATTCTTACCCTATTACTTTATTAGGGATTTTACTATTATTTATTTAAAAGAGCTCTTTGTATATAAAAAATGTTAGATAGGCCATAATATAACTGCAGTTATTTTGAGTTTGTCATTTTGTCTTTTAATTTGTTATTGTTTGGTTTTGCTATACAGAAATCTGAAATTCCTATGAAATCAAATTTCTCAATCTATTCTTACATTTTCTGGCTTTAGTTCCAGGCTTAAAAAATTCTTCTCCAGTCCGAGTTGTTGTTTTTAATCTCTTTTTCAGTTTCCTTAAAATTCTTTCTTATCTGCCCCTTCTGTATTTCTATCCCACCTGATCACCTTTTTCTGCAGACTTTTCCCCTTATTATTTAGGATACTATTTAGTAGAAGTCATGAGTTTTAAAATTCTGTTTGGAATGCCAGACTTATTTCAGAATTCCCTCCCTATTTCTGTAGCAGCCCTGTTCGTAAGTCCGCTTTTCATCCAAGTCTTTGAGCAGATGGCCTTTTCTCTTTGTTCTACTGTGTTGTAGAACTGGCTAAGTAGGACTGACTAAGTTTCCTAGTCGTGCGATGAGAAGGGCTCATTCCAGACCAATGGCCAGAGTGGAGGGACTGCCCTAGGTCCAGGACTTGAGTTCTTGAGAGATTCCCTGTGCCTAGTTCCCACCAGGAAGGTCAGCTGCTGTGCACATTCCGGGCATCCGTGGCCTCCACGGAAGGCAGTTTTGCTGCCCCGCTTCCACCTAGCACCACCCACCGTCCACTTTCGCTTAAGCTCCTGCTCAAAGACCTGAATGAGTTCTTTTTTAAGCTGAGCTCTTCCATCTAGGAAAGATAAGAAGGGCTTCAAAATCCAAGAGGAAAAACATTTTTAATGTGTGTCTTGCTGTAGCATTATGCTTGTTAAAACATAAAAGCCTTCAAAAATCTTCCCTTTATTAAAAGATTCTATAAACAAAGTGAAAAGGCAAGCCACAAATTGGGAGAAAATATTCACAATGCGTGCCACTGACAGAGGATTAGTATCCAGACTCCTAAAAATAGACGAGAAAAAAGCAAACAACTTGTTTTTAGAAAAAGAACAAAATAGACAACTGAAAAAAAGATCATTTATGTAAGACAAAATAAATAACAAATTATTAATGATCCATAAAGTGCACATTGAAACCTCAATATTTTATATGTTTTGGGTTGGCAAAAATGAAATACCTGACAATACCAAACGTAGGAGAATGGGGGGAATCACAGGAACCCCCATGTGCTACTGACAGAGTATCGGTTGGAAGAACACTTTGAAGAAGGGTTTAACCTGATCCAATAAAGTTACAGGGGCACACACTCTACCACCTGGCAATTTCATTGCTAGGTATATTCCCTAAAGAAATGCTGGCACATGTACTGGACAGGAAATATTTGTCTGGCACTATTTGTGGCTGTGAAAAACTGAGGGAAAAATTACTGAATATGCTTTGATAAGACAATGAATAATTTGTGGTATATTTATATAATAGGATACTATATAGTACTGAAAAACAAATGGAGCTAGATGCATCAACATGGATGAATCCCAGAAATAGAATGTTGACTGGAAAAAGCAAGTTGTAAAAGTATATTACAGTATGAGTCTATAAAAACCTGTAAGACTAGATTGCATGTTACTGATGGCCTTATATGTAGCTAATAGAAGTGAACATCCACCCAGGGAATGAGGCACCCCAAATTCAAGAGAGAGAACCCCATTGGAGGAAAAGGGAGGGGAATGAGCTATAGAATGTGTACACAGGGAGCTTGGTTTACCTGAAATGTTTTATTTATTATATACTGGTTTGTGAGTACTCATGTGTTTTGAACAAAATTTTGTATGGATCTGAATTTTTTCTACTATATAAATAGACTTGGTTGGCATTTGCTTATGTAAATTTTTTTAAAGTAGCGGGTTAGAACTTTGCTAAAACAACCAAAATGTTGGATTACTGTTAAACACTGTTGGACATAGCAGACCTCCAACACATACTTGATAAGTGAATGAAACGAATATGAAACCCACGATACACAGTAACAATGACTAAATGTTTTGGGCCTCAGTGCCATGCCAAACACTTACACTATGCATTACACTTCCATACATTAGCTCCACTAATCCTCACCACAAGCCTTTGAGGTTTGTACTATTACTATGCCTACTTTATAGAAATTGAGGCTTAGCCGGAGTTTAAGAGAAATCAGTTAAGTGGCAGAGTCAAGGTTTGAATTACTTCACACATGCGTGCACATACCCAAAGTAGCATTCGCACATCTACGAAACTTATAGCTGCCACCTGCAAGCCAACTGCCACTCAGACATGTTAATCCCTGGAGAGAAAAAGTCTGTCCTTTTGCCTTGGAATTTCTGTGGCGAGATGATTTCCCTCCCTAGAAATGAGAACGCTGCTACGATGTATTTCTAACAAATCCCTGCAACTCCTCCCTGCACTGACAAACCCCTCAAAGACCAATTTGCAGGCATTTGACTCAGAAGCATCTATATCGTCTCTGGAGCAGTGGGACTCCAGGAGGCACTCCACAATAAAGCAAATTGGGCCACTGTGAGCTGAACAGTAATTGTACTCTGAGCCAGATCTCCCAAGGCCCAGACTCCTTCCTGGGACCTCGATGGGCACTTCTGGAAGCTGCGTTAACTCTTTCAGGCCACCGGGGTGCTGTTTGATGCACAGAGCCAATCATTTACTAAATGGTACCATGGGGACCCCAAAGAGTTAAGGCAGCTTCCAAAAGGCCCTAATTTTTTCCCAAACTGGGACTTACATGCTGGGAGAATATTGCTCAATATTTTAAAAAACTTTTATTTGCTAACATTATCTAAGCTGCACCATCGTGCCTCATGGCTGTCCCTTCACATGGAAGAAAGAGAAAGAAAATGATGCTCTGGTCTCCAAAGGAAAATAAAGAATGGCTAAGCTCTAGGGGAGATGAGAGGAAAAACCCAGCTTTTGAATGACAAAGAGAACATGGTTGGTATTCCAGCACGAACAAAATGTCATTATTACTCCATTACTGCAGAGTTTGGCAGGTTTGTCTTTAAGTGAGCTCAAAACATTTCTGAGACTTTGCATGAAGTTTCCCTGCGAGTGTGATGCAGTAGACCCTCTCCTCTGTTGAAAAAAAAATGGCGCATCAAAACTTTGCTAAAAAGTGTTATTTCCCGAAGATGGGAATAAACCATGTTGCAGGTCCCACTCCAAGATGGGGTAGAGTCAGGAGTGGACAAAGAGGAGGGCTTACCCTTACTGTCCCCTCAGGACACCACATCTAAAAATAATTGTTGGTGGCCGGGCGCGGTGGCTCACACCTGTAAACCCAGCACTTTGGGAGGCCGAGGCAGGTGGATCACAAGGTCAGGAGACTGAGACCATCCTGGCTAACATGGTGAAACCCCGTCTCTACTAAAAATACAAAAAAAAAAAAAAGAAAAGAAAAGAAAAATTAGCCAGGAGTGGTGGCCGGCGCCTGTAGTCCCAGCTACTCAGGAGGCTGAGGCAGGAGAATGGCATGAATCTGGGAGGCGGAGCTTGCAGTGAGCCGAGATCGGGCCACTGCACTCCACCTGGGAGACAGAGTGAGACTCCCTCTCAAAAAATAAAAAAAATAAAAAAATAATTCTTGGTCATCTTTGCTATTGTATTTAATGGTGTTTATCTTTCTTCAACTATCAGTTAGATCCACACTTGGTTTTTACAAGAATGATCAATCATACTCAACATCACAAACTCTGCACCATTGGCTTAGTAGTCAGCCTAGGAATGTGCACATATGCACACACACAAACACCAAAATACACTCACCTCTAAATACAACTAAGTTAGTGTTCATTTCAATCCCTTCATACTAGGAAATGGATGTATTCCTTCTTATGTTACCCACTTTTCCAGTTACCTGTTGTGCATGACAAAACACCCCTAAATTCAGTGGCTTAAAATAATAGCAATCATTTATTTTGCTCATGGATCTGCAATGTGGGCAGGGCTCAGCAGGGACACCTTTTCTGTGCTCCATTCTGCTAGGGCAGCTAATGGGAGCTAAGAGATCCACTTCCAAGATTGTGGGTGTGCTCACAGGGCTGACAAGATGGTGCTGGCAGTCAGCAGCAAGTGCAGCCTCAAGGTCAGGGCCTTGGATCCTCTCCACACAGGTGTTCACTCAGAACTACTTGGGCTTCCTTACAACATGGCAGCTAGACTCTAGGAGTGAGTATGCCAAGTGAGAGGCAGAAGAAGCTGTGAGCCTCTTGAGGCCTATGCTTGGAAATGTCTCTTCTGCCTTGTCCCATTAGCCCAGTTGATACAAATCCATCTAGATTCAAGGGGAAGGGATAAAGATCCCACCTCTTGAAGGGAGGAGTGTGAGCCCATTCACAGCACCTCTAATCTACCACATCCACATATTTCCCTTTTCTCCAATGTGGTCCCACCTCCCAAGTTGTCTATCTCAGACACTGATAGATTTTGCATTAATTGCTGAGGATTCTCTATTTTACTTTCTGCTTTCTCTCAAAGTCCACATTCTATGAATAAACCTCATTGGCTACTTCTGTAGCTCTAGATTTCCCCATTTCTATTATTACAGGATATCTCTGTGCAAAATGAGGACCTCAAGTGATTTTCTTCCCCCAAAACCAGCACCTTCCCATGATTGCTAGAAGAACACCTTCTTCCCTTGGTGTGAGACCATACGATGGGAAAGGTTCTGAAAAGACCAAACCCCAAGGCTCTTGGCAGGAAAAGAACAACAGCCTATTGAGTCTTTCTTAAAAACACTACTCTGCACACCACAGAAGTCATTGGCTCTGTGTTGCTTCCATGTGATGAAATAAAACTTCCTCCTTATCTGCAACATCCTACAGTCAGCAATCTAAACATCCTATGTGTGGGGGAGACATTCTTTTTGAGCCCAAGGAAAAGGCAAGGTCTTAGCCAGGCAAAGCCATTGTCCAGTGAGTCATGAAATAAGGAAAGACAAACCAGACCTGCTTTATCCTAGAAACCCCAGCACTGAGCAAGGACATCCAGTGGTTAATAATGCAGACCTACAGCAGACTGCCCTGGTGACATTCTGCTACCAGCTGACAATTGGGTGACTTTGGCCAAGTTATGCAACATCCCTAAGCCTCTCTTTCCTCATTTATAAAGCTGGGATAAAAATACTACCTACATCACAGCGTTATTGTGAGGACATGTAAACACTGAACAGAATGTCTGGCTAGCTAGTTAGAACCTGTAGGATATTACCTAGCTATCATCAGTGAAAGCAACTGCTCACCTGGGCATCAGGGTGCCTGAGTTTAAGTCTTGGCTCTGCCCCTTGCTAGTATTGGAACCTAGGGCATCATTTCATCTCTTAGTCTCATTTCTAATATACAGGTTGCTTAGCACAGGTCAAAGAAAGAATAGGGTGATATTAAAAAGAAATAAAAGAAAAGGGGTAGAGGCTAGGTTGGAAGGATCTGACCCTAGATCAGGACTGAAACATCCTTCACCTTGCCCTGGCTAAGAACTCTTTGACCTAACAAGAGGAGTGAGGAACCCTAGGTGAGGAGGGAGCCTGCTGTTCTGGATGAGAATCCCATTTCTCACTCCTCCCCTCAGGGAAGCTCCCTTTTTGGGTTCCAGTTTGTTGAGATCCCATTAGGCTCTTCCTTATTACCTAGACAATAGCCAAAATGTTGACTGGGTTAGCACCCCTGCAGCCACTCTTCAACTCAAGAGGCAGTGGGGCTGGGATTCACTGTACCACAAACCAAGCCCACCTTTGTACTTGCCTAGCAGTTACTGCAGATTCAAGTATAAACAAAGACAGGGATAGAGGAAAGTTCAGTGCTCGTGTTTGAAGGAGTCAGATATGGAAGAAAACCAAACAGGCTAACGGGAAGTTCTTTTCTGGGAAGAAGATGCCAAAGAAGTAGCTCTGAGGGAGTCTGATGCACAAGACAATGCCCATTGTCAAATCTCAAGACTCACAAGTTTGAAGCTACCAGGTGACAGCAACTTAGGAGAGGCACACACAGCTGTCAACCTGATTCACCCAGCCCCAACTACAACATAGATCACCGCTTCCATGCAGAGTCTGACCGACAAAGAGGCTGGGGGTCAGTCAGACAAGACCCCACACCCTAGGGACATGGCCTTTCCGAGCAGAAGTGACAATTCAAAATCCCTTGTGTGCATTGCTTTGGAACAAAGAATATTCCAAATAATCTTAATTAATTTTCTTTGGGCCAAAATGAAGAGTCAGGTATAGAGTTGAGCTCCATCACACATGGGAGTTCAGGACTCTTTGTTTGTACTCAGGAGTCTCAGAGCCCAGGCAGAGTATGATTTCCATGACAACCAATACATGTATAAGGCTTTGATGTTAACAGCCACATTCCGGGAGAAGTGGCATAACATTTTAGGTTCTGTTATTTCCAAGGGGGAACTTCATGGAAAACCTTAAAGAACACTGCTTTGTGGTTATAAAATTCAGAACAGAGTGGTTACAAGCTTATCTTCTTACACAAGGGCCTATATTCCAGTAAATGTTCTCATGCTTCATCTCAGGTTAGATTTGATCTGCACTACACCTGAGAAAAATCTCCCATCTTCCCCACCTTTCTTTCCACCACCAACTATTAATTAAGAAGGCTGAGCACTCTGGCTCTGGCAGGGTTTTATTAGTCCGTCAGAATGTAATAGAAACCATGTTTCATAGGCATGTAGGACTTAATAAAATAATACAGATATTAAGAAAATTATGAGAAGCCTATAATATTCTGCCTCTGCAGGGTTTGCCAGAGGTGGGTTCCAGGGATCCAGAGTAGCAGATTGTGTCAGCAGTTTAGGGAATCCTGGCGACAGGAATCTCAAAGGCTTCAGTCCATGTGCAGTAAGTACACTGGAGGCTGGTGGAAAAGTAATGGGAATAATGTCTACTTTCCATGAGCTGTGGACTTTATAATCATTGTCTTGTCTTACCCTCATGGTTTCTCATTGAAATGCTATTAATTCTACTTTATGGATAACTGAGGTTCAGCAATAGTTGGTAACTTGCTCAACAGCACACAACTAATAAATAAGTGATGCAGCCAGGACTTGAGCCTTGATCTGTTTGACTAGAAAGCCCACATGTTCAACAACAGGGTCATTATGCCTCCAATTATAGGGACAGGGTGTGGAAAACAAAGACCAGTATCAAGGTTCACTTATAATAGTAACACTTAAATATGGAGTCACAAGCTCACATGCCTGTACGGTGACATAACATTCATTAGTAATATGGGTTGGGTGAAAGATGTTGGAGTGAGCTCCGAGGTTAGCTGGGGAACCCCATAACCCCTCCCATACAACCGTCAGTATTAGATCTACCAAAATTTTCAAGATAAATTAGAAATCTGATTTTCATATGAAAACTTTCCATTTTGAAAAAAAATGGCCACTAGTTCATTCTGAACCCCTGCAGGCCAAATGAAATACACAGTGTGCTATTCGATGCCGTCTGCTCTGGGCCACACTCACCATGAGGGTGGTGTGTCACCTCTGTCTTCTTTACTCCTATATTTCAGGCCTTAGAGCAGAGTATAGGAGCTTAATAAATATTGGTGCAACAAACAAATGAACTCTCAAATAAACATCAGGGAGGTGAAGAAGAATCAAGTCCTGGCTCTTGGGTGCAGTCCTTTCATCAGAGCCCGGGCTGCCCATGCAGGTGGGAAAAGTGTCACCGAGAACTAGCAGCTCAGTAATGGCTGAACTCATCCCCATTGCCAGTGACTTGCACTGGGGGCTGGGGACTGCTCACATTGTCCCTTCCATAAGGCAAAGTTGATCTGGGAACTGGGGTAAGACTGTCGCACCTCCCAGAATCTGGGGCTGTCAGGGCAGGCAGGGCTAGGGCTGAGAATCTTTAGCTATCTTTACTAATCTAGCCCTAGTTATGCAGTCTGTGAAATGAGATGAATGGGACTACAAGTCCAAAACATGGAGGAAAATGATGAATTAATGGACAGTGAGTTACTTGGCAACTGTTTAATGCTAAGTATGGAATGCATCCTATAAACGTGTTCCCAACAAGATTCTAAGTAATCTTTGGAAACCCTTAAATATTTCTGATGAATAAGTTAGAGGAAATATATTCACAAAGGCATTTAGCAGTGAAAACATGCCAAAGCCTCCATCTGCCATAGTCTACTTTCAAACGTGAAAAGTAGCTCTTGTTCTCTCTGCTTTGAATATTTTGTAGGTATACGCTTTTCAAAAATAACCCCAAATCCATAGTCAAGTAAACACTAAGTCCTTATAAAAAGTGCTTTCAATGCTACAACTAGACTTCAACTATAAGGCAGACCTCACTGGCAGGAGTATTGCTCCCAGATAACAAAGGAAATCCCTTGCAGCCAAGCTGTCACCAGCTGCCACTAGCTAGAGTGCAGACCCAGTAGATGCGCTGGTTTCCTTCGTGGAGCTGTGACCGGGATGTGAGTGAAGCTCTGGTGCTTTCCACTGATTTTACCTCACTTTGCATTATTGTCACAATTTGATGCAAGATATTCTGGCTTTTCCAGGCCTTGGTGTTGGCATCCCTGGGGTGTGAGGTTGCCAGCCACCTGTGTGACTCTTGTGTCAGGACATACCATCTTCTCCTCCCTCCCAAAGAAGCTGGTCTTATTTCTAGCTCCCAAACTGGGTTTGTGATGGAACAATGTAATATTTTTTAACTAAAGAGACAGTATTACTCAGAAGCTAACTGTCTGTCCTTTCTAAGTCCCTCCCTACCCTAGAAATGAGCCTTGCTTGTCATCTTTGGCATGACACTCTCGCTAGGGTCTCCCCAAAATTCATATAGTGACATTTTAATCTCTAAGGTAATGGTGTCAGGAGGTAGGGCCTTTGGAAAACAATTTGGCTCTACCATTATGAATGGGATTAGTGCCCTTATAAAAGAAGCCTGAGAGAGGCCCCTCACCCCTTCCACTACATAAGGCCATGGCAAGAAGGCACCTTCTATGAGCCAGAAAGTAAGCTCTTACCAGACACTTAATGTGCCTTAATGTTGGACTTCCCAGGCTCCAAACTATGAGAAATAAGTCTGTTGCATCTAAGCTACCCAGTTTATGGCATTTTGTTATAGTGGCCCTAGCAGACTAAGACAACACTCCCCTGAGCAACCAATCAGAGTCCACTTGGGATGACATTAAAACCATCAACTTCACTATGCAATCATCCCAGAAGTGTCCCAGAGCGCCTATCACCTTACAGTTTCAAAAATAAGAACACTAACCTTTAGGAATAGGGGGAGAAGACTCAACAGGCTCTTCTGACGCTCAATGGGGCTCTTGTGAGTCAACTGCTGGTATTCCAGAAACTTCCTTTCCAGCATGTCCCAGAGAGCTGTGGGGCTGGAGGACTGCCCTCCATGTGGGACATCAGGCTGCACAGCAGCAAGCTGCCCTTCATTTTTGGAACCTGGGTCTTCATTTCTGTCTTCAGCCTTTGAAAGATCTTCTGCCTCCATGCCGTGGCAAAGCAGATCTGAATTCAGAACAAATAGAAGTGAACATTCCTGTCACATCACTTCCTGATGATTCTGGCTGTGGATAAGGTACTGTACTCACTCAGCCCAGTTTCTATTGAAAATGGTTCCCCTAAGAATCTGAAACAGACTAAAATAAGGAAGCCTTTTTAAAAAGGGGATTCAGATTTAGATGTGATTAATACAAGTTCACAATCTAGTGTGTGCCCAGCACTGTGGGGTCTTATACACAAGACTCAGACAGACTCTCCTACAGCCACACAGACAGATGTGTGCTCTTTTTTTTTTTTTTTTTTTTTTTGAGACGGAGTCTCGCTCTGTCGCCCAGGTCGGACTGCGGACTGCAGTGGCGCAATCTCGGCTCACTGCAAGCTCCGCTTCCCGGGTTCACGCCATTCTCCTGCCTCAGCCTCCCGAGTAGCTGGGACTACAGGCGCCCGCCACCGCGCCCGGCTAATTTTTTGTATTTTTAGTAGAGACGGGGTTTCACCTTGTTAGCCAGGATGGTCTCGATCTCCTGACCTCATGATCCACCCGCCTCGGCCTCCCAAAGTGCTGGGATTACAGGCGTGAGCCACCGCGCCCGGCCAGATGTGTGCTCTTATTCTCTCTAGGTAAGTAAGGAAACTGGGCCAAAGGCATACAGGCAGCTAGACGTCAAGTTGAAATGCAAACTTTCACACTAAAGCCTGTTTGGGGGGGGGGGGTGTTGTTTGTTTGTTTTTTTTTCACTTGTTGCTGCTTCTCTTTTAAAAGGCTGCATACATAAAAGAGATGTAAATAGTTCACTGGTATTTGTAGAGGCACATAATTCTATATCTAGAACTTCCTTCTATGATGGGTCTGTAAGGATAGATTCCTCATTCTAAGCATTATTTGGTTTATACTTGATATTTTTAGAGTATTTTATTCTCAAAATGACCCTTTAAGTCCCCAAGCTTACAAGAGCTCATCTCTAAGTGCACACAGGAGCAGTGTTTGCAAGTTGGGAACCTCAAGCCAGTAGGCACAAGAACAAAAACTTATGCGATGAAAACAGCCAAGGGCCAATTCACCAATAAGTGACCTCCCAAAGGTACACACCTTCAAAAGTTGTCAGTCAATTATGACTTACACCATAACATAGGATAGTTTATTGTTTGTTTGTCTGCAGTTCAGTAAACTCTCAGAAGGGACCAAAATGTTCAGGATCCCTGAATAAAAGCCCTCACCAAACTCAACATTACCACGTAGGAAGCCATCCGGGTGCCCAGCAGGCATTCAACAATCACAAAGTAGTGACCAGAGGGACATAGAGAAGTGGGCTCCCAGTGTTTTCCTCTTGGCTACAGCAGTGGTTGGGTTACATCATGCTTTATTTTTAGCCCAAACACACATTCCTTGAAGGCTAGAATGGGGTTTAGCCACGTGACACCGGCAAGGATAACCAGCCCTCTCTGAAACATTCTCACTCTTTATGTGCAGAACCCAGCCTTCCCCCAGCTCCTCTTCGAGCACACAGACTGCTTACTCTCTGACTTTATTTTCAGGAATAATTTTCTTATTACAAAAGCCATGTCAGTTCATTGTCAAAAACTGGGAGGAAACAAAAAATCAGGAAGAACATAATGCTTGCCCATACCCAGAAAACATGACTGCTGACATTCCAGCTTCTATCTATGAATATATAGTTTAGTAAGAACACGATCATAATATTGTTGAAGCAAACTTTATTTATACTTTTGCTTCTGTTGGGCACTGGGATGGGGTTTTGTGGGGGATTAAGTTGTTTCTTTTGGGGGGCTAACTCTAAGGGGCAGGCAGTGTGTGGAGTTGCTCACATCCCTTAGCCTTTTCCCTGATCTGGGTGGGCTCCTGTCTGGCTGTGTTCATTTATTTCTTTATCACCAGGACCTCCATTCTCCATTCGCATTCCCTGTGTCCCCACCCCACCCACACTCTCACTTGGTGAGTATGATTCCACCAGCATGGAACTTACAGAGTATGACACACAGCACCTGATTTCCATCCACATACACTTAAGTTAGCAAATGCTCTTCTGCATCTTTTCTGCTCTTACTCTTTCACCCAGCATTATGTCTTCAGACTCCACCACGTGTCTCTGTGTTTGTCAAGTTCATTTCCTCTAACTGCTACCTTGTGTTCCAAAGTGGGCATCACATGCCTATTTTACTTGTTGGCTTTCTCTGATAGATGGCTGGATTAGCCACAACATTCAGTCCAGCACACAGGGCTGGGGTGGACATTGCTGCGTGGGTCCCTTCACTGGGCTTTCATGACTGACTCTGGGTATGAAGGCAGGGGCAGCAGAACTGAATCAAGGGAGTATGACTGCTCAGTTCAACTAAGTTCCACAAACTAAGATGCCTCCAGAAAGCGGGCATCAGGCCATCTCCCCCACAGCATCTGAAGGCTCTTCAGTGACCTCATTACCACCCTGCTTGGCATCACCCAGCTTTCCAGTGTTTGCAATCTGATTGAAGGAAAGAGACCTTGCATTGTCATTTTAATTTGCATTTCTCTAAGTTACTAATGAGTATGAGCATCCCTTTACATGCCTGTTAGCCTTTTGGCATTTCTCCTCTGTGAATTCACTACTCATAACCTTTGCTTATTTTTTCCTTGCTTGTCTTTCTCTTGCTGCTTCATGAGAGTATACTCTAGAAGCTGGTCCTTTGTTAGTTTTGAAAATTACAGATATCTTCTCTCAATCCATTTTTTAATAAATTAGTCCATAACTTTCTTTGTAGTCAAAACAGCACATCATGAATATTTTCCACATCACTTAAGATCCTCAATGCCTTTATTCTTAATGGCTGCATGGTGGCCATAGAGTAATGTTGCTTGTTTATTTAATAAGCCCTTACACTTAGGCACTTAAGTGATATCCAATTATTCAGTACTATAAAAAAATACTGTAATGACAATCCTCATGTCTAAGTCTTTTTTATATATTCATGATAAAATAACAAATCCTAATCCATTCCTGAATTTCTAAAAGGAAATAGTTGGATCTAAAGATAGATAAATTTTCCAGCCTCTTGATCCATATTTCCAAACGGCTGCTCCTGAAACACCAATCCTATCAAGGGACAGACATTCCTTCTACATAAGTGTACAAGAGCTCGAGCTTCCCTATGTGTAATCTTTTTTTATTACCCTTTTTTTTAACCCTGATAATTTGACAGGTAGAATAAAATCAAAAGCAAGTGCATCTCTGTTGTTTCTCACTGCGCATTTGCTGCAGAGTGAGGAGCTAAGTATGTTTCCATCTGAGGCTCGGTCTCCTGCAGAGCTCCCTGCAGCTGGTGTTCTGGAGTCAGACTCCAGTGAGTTCTCATTTCATGGGTTCTTTGTAAGGAGGTCTCAGCTATTCTCATGGCTCTAATTACCACTGAGAGCCACATATCCACTAAACATTAGCTCTGTGAAGGCAAGGATGTTATGTCCATAGCAGGGGCTGGCACAGAGTAGATTCTCAATAAAATGTTATTGCATAAACGAATGAAAGTATAAATGAATCCGTGAACGAATTAACCTACGTGCTGATGGCACCCAAATCTCAATCTCTCTCTCTCTCGCCTAGACCCCTCTTTGGAACAAGTTCATTTTTCCCACTCCAAGATTTCTACTAGGATTTCCCCAGGACTCTGAAAGCCACTGTGTCCAACCAAACTGCCATCCCTAGCACCAATAGAGCCAGCCCCAAGCCATGGTAACAGCAAGCTTAGTGTTGTCTCTACCATATAAAGTTCATTCTGTGGCCACACCTGCAGGCTTTACTAACTGGCTCTATCAGTAAACCATGTCTGAGGACATGCTAACATGCCCCATCTTCAGGACCAGCAAGTGGCAAGTCAAGTGAGCATCAGGCAGAATATGGAACTGCGATGGGTGGGGACTTAGCTGGAGATCCAGAGAAAGGATCAGAAACCGCCCAGCTCTCCTCTGAAGTGCAGAAGCCACGTTTGCTGAAGTGAAACACTTGACTCACCTTCACTTGAATCGGCAAAGATTTTTGATAAACAAGGATTTCTAACTAATGCGGACCCCTGAAATTGCGTGGCAGCAGCATCTGACTCAAATGCCAAGCTGCAGCTGCCCCACCTCCTGCTCATCTGCTGATCGTGCCACACCTGCTCCAGTTTTATTTGAAAAGAGAAGGAAACAGGGAGTAGGCTTGCAGGCCATGTGAAGAACAGCAAGAAAAAAACACTCTCATCCGTCTCATTCTCAAGAAGTGCCCCACCTACAAGCCAGCAGCCTCTTCTTATCCAGGGTGAAAAGGGACCCATCGGGGCTTAGGGTCACTGTGGGAGTCCCAGGCGAGGCCAGGGTGAGGGTAGGGCAATGAAGGAGGCACTCACCTCCTCACAAGATTTAAGGAGGTGCCAAAAATGATAATTTTATGCAACAGTTTTAGAGATCAAAGTTAATGTCAAGAAATCCATGATGAACAAAATTTTAAATAAAAACAGGATCCAAACCTGTGCTTCCCAACCATCCCCCAACTTCACTCTCCACTGTGGGAACTTGAGCTCAGGGCATTTTTCATAAAAATCAACCTGTTAAACAGACACCACGTCTGGACCTTGGCTCCTGGGGATTCTACTCTCAGACATGTTTGGCTCCCAGCACAGACTCTGGGGCCAGACTGCTGGGGTTTGAACACAGTGGGTTTAGACCAAGTGGCAAGACCCATCCCTGCCTCATGGTCCTCATTTGTAAAGTGGGGATGACAACAGGTTCTCTCACCAGGGCCCCTCTAGCATTAGTCAGCTTGGCACAGGTCACTATTAGGATTAAGGGAATGCATATTTACTGGCACCTACTTAGTGCAGGCATTTACATGCATCTCTTCATGTAATCCTTCTGATATCCAGTGACAGCAAAGCTAGCAGCCTTCGTCCACAGCTGGTACTGAGGTGGGAGCAGAGAGGTGACTTGGCCAGGGTCCCTTCGCCAGTCGGTGACCAGAGCAGAAGCCCCCAGGTCTGTGGACAGCCCAGGCTTTGCTGCCCAGCACACCCCCAGCAGTGCACACAGGCAGCTGGGCTCACACTGTGGCTGCTTGGGGCTGAGGATGGGGAGAGGGGCTTGGCAAACTACTATACCCGGTCACACAGGCTGGGGAAGACTTGCTACCCTGGAAAGGTTCTTGGACAGGTGGGCTTTTAGGGGAAGGGTTCAGGGAAATATGGCCTTGGCAGAGCAAGAGGCCAGGAGGCTGCAGGGAGTCCCAGAGCCTCCAGGAAAAGACAAGACCACTCCTCCCTGCCGGCCGTGCTGTGTCCCAGCTTGGATGGGTTCAGGGCACATGGCATTCTGGCCCTCCACATCCCTGACCAGCCAGGTTGGAAGCTCTGCTCTCCTGAGGCAGAAACTTGCCTTCTCACACAGCCACGAGGCAGAGGGGGCAGTGGGGCCAGGATGGGAGTCACAGGCAGGGGTCCAGGTCAAACTTGGCCCCTGTGGTGTCTTAACTGAGTCACTTCCCCTCTCTGAGACTCGGCTTCTCCTCATCCACATGGTCCCGGTGATCCCAGTCCCTCTCTGCCCTTCCTGCATGAACAATGGGAAGAGGTCCAGCATAGTGAGAAGCTGAAGGGCTGCAGGGACCCCCACAGGAGCCCAGAGTCTGTGGGTTGTGTGTATGTGATGGGGTCTCCCCTTCCTCTGTGCCATGTGCAGGGAACCAGATGGCGAGCCTGCAGGGACCCAAGAGGGAGGGATTCCCTGTGACCTCAGCAGCACCAGTGCTGGGAGTGGCCATGCATGCCCCCAGGTCTCTTGGTGTCACTATCCACCCTCACCCTGCACCCCACCCACCCTGCAGGGATACATAGCATCATCAGAGCTCGCTCTGCATTGTAACAACCCACACCAGGCATTCTGCGCACAGCGGCCCCAATGAAGGGTAACATCTGGAGCATGAAGCAACTGCTGGGTTGCTGATATTTGGGCTGCTAAGTAAACATTTTGATGACTGTTTTCATCCCTGACTTTCTATTGAGTGATTTGCAGAGTTGGGAGTCTCAGAATGTGAGATGTGATCTAGCAGCGCCCTTGGAGCTAAGATGCCAAGAAGCTGTTCCCAGGAAAAGCTGCCCCAGAGCAAGAAGACATGTGGAATGACCCAAAGGGTTAGCTTGGGACTCAGTGCCTTCTGCAGAAAAGCTGGGGCCTGCAGACAAAGAGTTGCTTTGAAAAAATTAAAGATTAAAATTCTTTCCCCATTTCTTGTCAGCCTCTGCAACTATTCTCATTTCCAGATTATAAACTCCAGGTGCAGAAACTGCCTGTTTGCCATCTCCATAATGGGCCATGGCCCTCAGGCCTTGGAGCTGGGGAAGCCTCTAAACCAGATGATACAAAATAGAATAGTGGCTTCGCATGCATGGCCGTAAATGATCTGTTTTCCTCTCCATGCAAAAGCCAGTGCCTCACTGCTTGTCAGCCGATCCAAACACTCTCGCCCCTGTTTTCAGCAGAGTCTTGGCCTCAATCTAGAGCGCTCCAAAATAAATAAATAAATAAATAGCAAAGCCATTCTTGTTCCTAAAACATGTTCAGGGTGGGGCTAGTGCTTGCTTCCCTCTTCCCCATGGTTTCACATCAACAAGGAGACCTTACAATCTAAAACCAAATTAAAAAGAGGAGAGAGACAGAGGTGATGTACTATGAACAGCGTTCACATCTACCTGCACAGCTGACACTGTCAGAAATACTGAGTACGGACAACAGCATCATCATTAGGAAAATGATGATTAAAACAAGATGCCAGGACACACCAATTAGTATGTCTTCAACAAGCAATCAAAACTTGATGATGGCAAGGGTGCAGAGCAACCACCACTCTCACCCTTGCTGGTGGGAATGCAAACGTGGCACTGCCACTTTGGAAGGAAGTTTGGCAGTTTCGGGGAAAGTTAAACATACCCCCAGGAATTCCACCCCTAGCTATTCATCCTAGAGAAATGAAAACTTATGCTCCTACAAAAACCTATACATGAATGTTTCTAGAAGCTCTGTTCATCACTGCCAAAACCTGGAAAAAACATAAATGCCCCTCACAGAATGAATGAATAAATGAACTCAGGTCCATCATCCATCCATACAGCAGAATCCCTCTCTACAGTACAAAGGAACACACGGCTAACACCCACAGCACCCTGGCTGCATCTCAAAGGCCTTCTGTCAGCTGACAGAAGCCAACCCCAAGAGGCTACCCACTGTCATATTCCACTTAGAGGACATTTTGGAAAAGGCAAAATTGTTAAGGAGAGAAAATAAGATCAGTGGTTGCCAGGGACGGGGGATAAGGGGATGACTACGAAGGCAGGATGGAATTTTGCGGGGGATAGAAATGTCCTGTTTCTTGAAAGTGGTCAAGGAGGAGTGTGTGGGCTTTGGAGTCAGCTGCACAGAACTTGCTATTTAGTAGCAGTTCTGAGCTATGGAGCTGCTCTGAGGCTCTTTTCAGCAGCCATCAAATACTGCTAGTATTTGCTGCCTCATGGTGTGTTGCTGTGAAGATAAAGAGAGATGATACAGAGATGAAAATGCAGAGCCACTATGAAGTAAGCTTTCAGGAGGAGGAGTTACTTGGTGGTGGTCACATGACAGTCTACATTTGTCCAAAGTGTGCACTAAAAAAAGAAAATTATTTTTATGTAAATTGTATTTCAGTAAACCTGACTTTAAGAAAACATGTACAGAGGTGGAAAGAGAATTAATGGAAAAGCCAGAGGTGGGGATTTTAGTCCCTTGGCTTCAGCTTTTATCCTGTACAGTGGGGATGGAAATCTCTATTTAATCAAAGCAGTGACTTCCCTCCCTGAGAGCTCACTTTATAGTAGCTCTGCATTTTTATCTCTGTATCATCTATCTTTATCTCCACAGCAACACCCCACGAGGTGGTAAACAGTAGTATTTCACAGGTGCTGGAAAGAGCCTCAGAGTGGTTCCATAGCTTCCCACGGGGCCACCAGCCAAGTTCTGTGCATCGGACTCCAAAGTCCACACGCTCCACCTTAACCACACTTCCTCTTTCCTCAAGATGCCACCAGCTGGGGACAGGTCAAGGCTCCTGTCCACAGAAACCACCCTCAGATAAGAACTCACTCAGGGCCCTTCCTTGGCCTCAGCCTCCACGTTGGTCAAGTGGGGAGACTGTCCTTTAAGTTCTCATCCACTTTTGCATCCAATTAAAAATACTATGTTTATTATTGATTGTTACATCAAACTGGTTGAACTAATAGACAAGGTAGGTCAATTACAAAAAGTAAAAGTATACCCAAAAGAATTGAAAGTGGGGACACAAGCAGACACGTGTACACCCATGTTCCTAATAGCATTATTCTCAATGGCCAGAGGGTGGAGACAAGCCAGTGTCCAATGATAGATGAATGTGTAATCAATGAAATGGAATATTATTCAACCTTTAAAAGGAAGACAATTCTGGCACATGCTACGACATGGATGAACCCTGAGAGAATTATACAAAGTGAACTAACCAGTCACAAAAGGACGAATGCTGTGTGATCCACTGATATGAGGTCCCTGGAGCAGTCAAATTCATAGAGCCAGAAAGGTGAATGGTGGTTCCCAGAGACTGGGGAGAGGGGTGCATGGGGAGGTAGCGTTTAATGGGCACAGAGTTTCAGTTTTGCAAGATGAAAAGGTAATGGAGCTGGATAGTGCTGATGGTTGTACAACAACGTGAATATACTCAATGCCACTGAACTATACATTTAAAAATGGTTACGATGGTGAATCTTATGTTATGTTACTTATAGATTGTGGTATGTACTACAATTATAAATTCATAAATAAAATCAATAAATAGATAAAAGATAAAGGAAGAGAAAATAATTCATCCAGTTTAATGACCACGATAAAATCATAACGATAATAGCATCTATTGAGTGCTAGCTCCGCACTAGGCCCCCTGCCAAAGGCTGTGCCCACCTAACGTGATTTAATTCTCCCAAAAGCCCATGGCACAGGAACTGTCATGACCCCACACACTCCCACCCCCAGGTGGAGATGAGATGGAGGCATGGTGCGTTTGCGCAGCATCCCTGGGCGTGCTCACGCAGCTGGTGTTCTCAGGAGTGAGAATTCCCTTCTGGGCCAAGGCTTCAGTAAACATTTGCCACATGATGGCATTGTATTGGAGGGATTATGGGACGCCAATTACAGAAGCTCTGTGTTCCACACCTGGGTTAGTTCCGGGAAGGGAGGAACACTATTGTAAACAAAGGGGACACAGATGAGACCCAGTGACAAGATCAGAGAAATCAGGAGATAGAAGTAGCTTGGAGGACATAAGACCCTGAGAATTTGCAGAAACTGGGCAAGAGCATTGGAGCTCCTGCAGGATGTGGTAAAGGGCCCCCAAAGCACAGTCTACATAACGTACAAAGCAAAGGAGGGAAGTGTAGGTGAGGGGACTCATGTCAGTGGAATGACAGCCTCCAGGCTTTCCTGTGGGCCCTTGGGGAAAGAGCTGATTGAAGGACCAGTGCTCTGAGACTCCCTTTGAGATGATTCGCCTGCTGATGGCCAGCCTTGGGGTGGTGCTGGGAGGTGAACCTTCAGCCTAAAACCTGCCCTCCTGGAGAAACTGTTCTGAAAAGCAGTGGTTCTAAAACTTCAGCATGCATCAGCATCACCTGAACAGATTGTTAAAACCAGATTTCTGAACCCCAGCCCCAGAGTTTACAAGTCAGTAAGTCTGGGGTGGGTCTCAGGAATTTATACCTCTGAAGAGTTCTCAGGAGGTGAGGAGGCAGCTGGTTCAGGGACCACACCTGGAGGACCACCACCTGAGGAGAAGCCTTGGAGAGGGACTTTGGAAGCAGAAGAATCCTATCATCTAGATTTTACCTAGCATTACTGCAAGCCCTGATCACCCCTCACCCTCACCTCTCAGCCCAGAGAGTAGACCAAGAGGACAAAAACAAAAAGCACAGTGTGAGAGGCTAAAGTGTCTCAGGCAAAGCTGGAGTTTAGCCTTGTTGGGAGCTTAGTGTGTGGCAGGCCAGCTGCACTTTTGCATTTTCAGCCTGCATGATGACTCCAAGACGTGGACATTAGGGATACCATTTTCAGATGAGGAAACTGAGGCTGGGAGCAGGAGCCTGCAACTCACTGAGGTCCAGATCTGTCTGCCTCCAAAACCTCTCCACCACTCTCCCTCTGAGGTTGTCTAGCTCCTCCAAAACAGGAGCCCCTCCTCTCCCCACTCTCCACTGTGGGGAAAGTCCTTGCCCACATCGGTGATGTATTAACTGACAGCAGGAGCTCTGGTGTGTATGCGTGTGGGGTGTGAAGGGGACAGGAGGGACACTGGATGTTACAATAGGTCCCTGTGCCTCTGCCCCTGCTGGCTCCGAAGTCCCCATGCTGCAAGCCCCAACACTGAAAGCTCTGAACACTGAGTGTGTGATCTCCTTCTCTGCCTGCTGTCTCAGAGTGGCTATGGCCAGGCCCCACCCTCTTCTCCATGGTCACCCTGAGAGCCCTGTCCATAGACATTCTGCTCCCTCCACCTCCCACTTCCCTCTCCTCACCTCCCAGACCTCACCTCCCCCTGGGGCAAAAACCAGGTGAGCGTGGCTGTCTGTGGAGGAGGAAATGGAGACGTGGCAGGGGCTGTGAGCCCTGTAGCATGTGCTTTCTGGGGCTGCACGGGCCGGCTAGGTCTATAGTGCATTTCATGAGAGACCTCTGATCTCCTCCAGAGTTGCCAGCGGACTGATTTCGGACTCACGGCAACCCTTCCCTGAGTCTCCAGTCCACTCTGAAGATTTCAAACTTGCCAGCCGCCACAATTCTGTGAACCAGTACCTTAAAATAAATGTCTCTCTGCCTACACACATGCACACATCCTATTGTTCTGTTTCTCTGGAGAGCCTCGGCGGATACAGCATGGCTGTCCTGGATAAAGCCCTTCACCCGCCAGACCTGTCCACATTTCCCATCAGCGTTTATTGAACCAGTACAACTTGGCATGCACAGCGTTAAACTTTGCCTTCTTAGAAGCATGAGGCAAAGCAGGAGCCATATTTGGGGTTGTGGATAAACCCCACACCTTCAATCCGTCTCCCCCACTGAGAATAAATTGAGCAAAGACTGAGCATGATACGGTCGACAGAGGGCCCCCAAGAGAAAGAGGTCTTCAGTGTCATGCCAGAAGTGGGGTGAAGGCCTCTTGCCCCTCACTGTTCCTCCGGGAGGCCACTGCTGCTCAGAAAGAGCATTTCATGGAAATCTTGGTCTGATCTGCACAGGCAAGGCCCACCCACTAGAAAGCTGGAACAGGACTGTCACAGGGGCCTTGTCACTGCCACAGCCACAAGCTTCAAGCCCTGGCACGCTTGGGAACAGGAGAGTGACATCAGAGTGCTTCAAATGTGCAGGAGATTGGTGTAATCTCCCACGCTAGAAGACAGACATCGTGGGCAGGCAAAATTGGAACCTGGCATCAAGTCCTGCATTCCGGCTCCTGCTCCTCATGCCATGAGCTGTGGAATCTCAGAAGTGACTCTCCACAGTGCCAATCCTCGTCTGAAAAAATGTGCTGCTGGGAGACACCAAGAGATGGCCTGTCGAGAAGCAGGTCACAGGAGAGGCTCTGTAATGGACAACGCATCCCCTCCTCGGAGGCCATCTCAAGAGCTGGGGCACAGGACCGTAGGAGAACAAATGTGCATGGGGCCATGGAGGACAGGCGCACCCGTGGGGATGGAAGGGCTACTCAGAGAAGGCCAGGCAGGAAGCAAGCTGGAGGCAGACATGCAGCAAACAGGCCAAGGTGACATGGGGGCCGTGGGACAAGATGCCACCTAAAGTCATGTGGGACCAGAAAAGGGAGGCCAGCATGGTTAGACCTGGCATTCTGGGTAATGGGGAGACCCTGGAAGTACTAAGCAGGAAAATGGCCCAGGAAACACCATTCTAGAAAGGTTGTCCTGGCTGGCAGTAAACCAAGCCTGGAACAGGAAAGAGAAGAAGAAAGAACAGCCAGGAGGTATGGGGCCATGATCACTCTGGTTAGAGGGATTGCCTTAGAAACAGAAAGAAGGCGGGACCCTGGAGATAACCCAACGAGATGTGCATCTGACTCCAAAAAGTCACACGTGCATCTTTGTTAGATGCACACCTGCACATCAGATGCCTGGTGAGCTTGGAAACAGAGCAGCCATCGCCCACCCAGGCCACTCACCAGATCACCTTGGAGGCCGGGTTCCCCAACATTGTGACTTACTTCTGAGTGGCGCCATGTGTAAGTGTTGGCTACAAGGTCTAAGGTGATTGCAACACGTCCCCAGGTGAGGCCAGGGGCCAGGAAGACACGGGAGGCTAAGACCCCCAGAGCTCTGTGATGCCCAGAGATGTGGGTGGCTCATAGAACATCACAAAGCAGGTCGGGAAGGGAGCTGGGAGCCCCTGCTAGGTCTCTACTGCTTCATGGCAGGGCCTGTTGTCCAGAGCCCTGACATTAGCTCCTAAGTTACCTGTGAGCTGGGTGAGACCTGAGTGTTCCAGGCCCACCTCAAGTAGCTCCATGTATCTAGGAGTGGGCCTGTTAGCCTGGGCTGTGTGACAACCTCTGGCCTTGACTCGCTGGTAAGCACCACCACCACCCTGAACCTAGTCCCTCTGGCCAGCCTGACCCCTCCTGAGCTCCAAGGCCAGGCCAACCCAGAGCAGCATCACATAGATCAGATTCAAATCCCAGCTCCATCTCTTCCTAACCTGTAACCTTAGCGACTCAGGCTCCCTCAACCTCAATGTCTCCAGCTGTAAAATGGGAACAATATCGTCCTTGCAACATTGCAGAAAGAATTAAGCAAGCCAACATATGTGAGAGGGTGTCCAGTACATGCTAGATGCCCACAGAGTGCGCACTGCATGGCCTCTTCTGCATTCTGCACCTTGCTGCCTCGAAGCTCTTAAAATCTGCACTTCCCTTGGGAGCTTCAGCCCACATGGCCTTTGTAAGTGTGCTCTGGGGCCTCCATCCATCTTTGGGGTTCAGCCCCAAGGTCTGAGTCAGCTGCCCTAGTCCCAGCCTAGACCCTTCCTTTTGCCTTCATCACCTCCCCCTGGGCTGGCCGCTGAGTCTGTCCAATCTCGGGTCTCCTCACAAGGAGCTGGTTTGTTGGATGTCAGGACAGGGCCGTAGAGATGTGGGCCTGAGCATGGCCAGACAGTGCTGCATGTGAGGATTTGGCCCTGGCGAGGACACAATGTGGAGACACGAGCAGGAGGGCTGCCTCCAAGACCAAGCCTGTGTTGGGGGAATGCCACATCAGGGCCAGGTGGAGTCAGGGGCAGCCTTGCAGACAGCAGGTGGGAGAGCAAGGAGTGGGCCACTCAGGAGGTTCCCTGTGGGCCCTGCATGGCCAGCACCTCCTCAAGGGAGTGCCAGGAGCAGGCGCAGCTGCTGGACTCACGATAACTCCAGCAATCACCTCGGTGCGGCCCTAGACATCACCAGTCAGCGAGTGTCCCCACTTCTTACCTGGGCCAAGGGCTGAGTGTGCCTGCTGGCAGAGAATGGCAGGGCCCAGGGCCCTACACCTGCTTCAAAGGACTCACGAGGAGACTGAGGCAATGCAGGTGTTTTCCAGAAGTTCAGGGGATCCCCTGAAGACTAAGATGGAGACTCCCATTGGAAGGAACTAGGCAGGTCAGCAAACCTTCCATGGCTCTCAAAACTTCCTCTTTCTGATTCCAGTCCTCACTGGGCTCCTGGTCAGCACACACCTCTATGGTTTTTGCAACAGCAACGGAATACAGGAACTCACAGTGTCCTGTGGAAGGGGCTGGTTCTGTATCTCGGTATGTGTACCTACTTCCACATTGCCAAAAATGGCCAGGGAGCAGTTCCCCTGGCTGGACCCCTACAGTTTGGCTATGGTTGAGCTATCATGATGGGGACAAAGACCTGAGTTGGAGACAGCACAGGTTACAAGAAGCCCCAGTCCCTGTGGAAAGGTGGTGAGCCTCTCCAAACTGGGAGCCGATCAGGGCTCGGTCTCCACTGAAATGTAAGAAAGTGTTCCCTTAGGTAAGAAAGGCCATGGAAAAGTGACCATCTACTAACAGAGACATCAATGTTCTCTACTCTTAGAAAACCTGTAAGGTAGGCATTACTATTCCCACTGTACAGATGGGTAAAGCGAGACTCAGAAAACAAGTAATGTATCTGAAATCAAACAGCTGACAAGCATCAGAATCAAGGTCAAACCCAGGTTCCCTCTTCCAGCACTCAAGGTTGGCTTCAGGCAGTGGTCAGTGGTGGTGGAATATGCCATGGTACTAGCTGAAGCCTGCAGTGTTGCAGGGAGTCCCTGGCTGGACTTGCATAGTTGTTGCTGACCCTCAGCCATAGGAGATCCAAGCCAGACCTGCTGTCTGCCCGCAGCTCACACAACAAGCTGGGAGGCCCAAAACAAGACTCTGTGGTTGCACTGTTGCCCCAGAGAAAAGCAGATCCCTGGGAGCCTCAAGGATAAGGGTTCATTAGCCTTGGACAACGTGGACACTCCTTGGCCAGCATTCCCTCCACAGATACCAGCACACTCAGTGTCAGTCATTTGTCCTCCAGGCAAAGCCACTGGGGCTACTGCTCTACTTGGCATGTTCCGTGTAGTGGGTCTCTGGATTATTAAACATGCAAGGAGCAGGATCACCCTCTGTCCACACCCTGGACTTCAAAGCTCAGGGGGAGCAGGGGGCCAGCAAGGAAGCAGATGCAGTGGGACAGTCATTGGGCAGGGTGGTGGTGGCTGTGGGGCAAGAGGAGGCTTATGGCCCAGACTGGGGAGGGTGGAGAAGTCTGGGAGGTCTTCTTAGGACATATGGTGCCAGTGGTGGACACTGAAGAGTAAGGATGGACCCTGGCAGTAAGTGGACAGGCACCCCGGGCAGCGTGAGTGAGTGTCTGGCAAATGGCACAGGTGTCCAAGAAAAAGCAGGGACAGGGGCTCAGGGGTTGAGTGAGTGCATGGTGAGAGGGCCCTGCAGAGAGTCCGGAGTGGCAAGCCGATGGACATGGACATGGTGCTTGTCTCACGGAGCGGTCCTGGGAATCACTGTGGGGCTCTCAGCAGAGAGTGACAGGAGCAGCTGGCAGCTGCCTGTCACTGGTAATTCTGCCACCAGGAGCTCACAGCCTCCTGGGAGAGGAGACGGGTAAAGGGATGCTCTAATACATGGGGGTGGAGGAGGCTAGGGGGTGGTGGAAGAGGTGTCACAGAAGCAGGGGCTTTGGAGAGGGAGTAGGAGGGAAGTAGAAATAAGCTACCCAGTGGGCAGGTTAGAGAAAAGAGGAGAAAGAAATAAAGCCACAGGAGAGGCTGGGCTTAACTAGACCTGGCTTTGTCCAACTAGGAGGGATATGAGCAGGAACAGGGCAGAAAGCTTAGCCAGGGACTCTATTAGGAATGTCTCCAGACTCTGAGCAGCCCCCATCTGATTCCTCACCCTCCAAACTCCCAGAGAAGGAAAATGACAGGGGAACTTTGCAGGATCCTTTATATCTCACGTGCTAAGGTAAGAAAGATTTTGACACATTTCCAGATGGCTTGGTTTGGTCACACAATCATCCCATTTAGCTGATTAAATTTCAAGAATAATTTGATCAGAATAAAGACACAAAAATCACAAGTGAAACTTTGAAACATATCTGGAAGTATGCATGCCTGGCTCCTCAGGAATTAAAGATCTCTTAGTTCTCCGGATTCATCAAAGCACAAAAAAGTGAGGGCACAAACCACCTACGTCACAGATAGAGTGACTCATTTTCTTGAGTTCCCTGTCCTCTCCTGTGCCAGGCCAACCTGGACCCAGAAAACTCTGCTTTTAGGTTAAAGAGAAAAAGAGACACTTTCAGATACAGCTTGGCTCCTGATGCTTTTCACCTAAGAGAAGAGCAAGGAAATATACTGCTAGCCACTAGAAGTGGGGGCTTCAGCCTCCAAGCTGAGTCTCTTTGCTTTTCTGTGACTCAGTTTCCCACCTGTAACATGAAGCGTTTAGAATAGATGCTCCTTAAAGAGGTGTCTGCCAGTGAAGTTCGGCTGTTCAAATTTGCCCAGGTTCACAAGCTTCAGATTTCTCCTCTGAGAGCTGAATATTTGTTTAACCAGAATGAGTCTCCCACAAGCTGGCAGACCTCTTAATGTACCAGGAATAATTTTCTTAATTATTCAACGTGCCGAAGGAGGTGGGAGGATGGCATCTGAATAGAACAGAAAGGGGTCAAGGGGCCTGAGAATGCCACTTGCTTGGGTGACACAGGTCCTCTGGGCCTGCCCTGTATGAGGCTGGTAGGCCAGAGTGGGCCCGGCACCAACACCTCTGCTTGCTCATCTGTCCCCTGGCTGCACCATAGCAAGTCTCTGCCTCCAGGCTCCCCTCCACCTCCCATCCACCCCACACTGTCAGACTTTACAGCACAACTCCAGCATGTCCCTCCCCTGAGCAAACGTCCTCCGCAGCTCCCATGTTCTCTGGGAAACTTCCCAAGCTTGTGGCCCTGATGATAGGACTCAACCCCCTCCTTGCCTAATTCCTCCCTGCACCCTCAGTGGGGTTAAGCTGAATCCACTGATCACTCACACCATAACCCCTCTGCCTTCAGTCAGGCCACCTCCTCTGCCTGGAAATCTCCCCCTTCAGCACCACGGTCCAAACATGCCACCTTCCAGACACAGCTCATGGCTGCCCCCCTCAACACAAGAAGCAACCCTGCTCCTCTCCACTTTCAAACTGCTCCCACTATTGGGCCATCCTGCCATTAGAAGGCAGCCATCACCAGCAGGCGACAGCCCCTTCCAGTTTTCAAGGCTGCATCAAGATACGATCTCAGTAATTACAATGGAACAGTGAGGCAGACAGCGGGCAGCAGGGCTTTGATTGTCCCATGTACAGGAGAAAAGAGAAGTTAGGCAGTGAAAGCCCTTGGCTGGCACAGTCAGGCAGGCCACACAAGGGTTGGCCTGCATTAATTCCCAAATCAATCATTTTCCTCAGTGCCTACTGCCTATAACAACTGCGGCTCCCATCCCGTTCCTCCTTAATGTCATTGTTATTCATGAATACGCTCTCTTTCTCACTCTTGTATTTCCTCAATTCAAAGTCTCTATCGATTATAAAATGCTACAGTCATTTAATTAAAGCACTTTGGGAGGGAAAATCATCACATTAAATACACACTTCAAAAATGAGATGATTCAGACACTTGCAATTGTGTGAGGAAGGAAGTGTTTTGTGGAACAAAGGCAGTCTTCCAGGGTGGTGATTGTGAGGATCCCGCCCACTGGCAGAGGTGTAGACTCACCTAGGGGCACTGTCCCGCCCTTCTGTTCCTGTCACTCGGATAGGGTAAAGGTGTCCTGGCCCACAGGCCCACAGGTGTGTGAGGCTAAAAGGAAATACAAGAATCTGTGATCTGACAGCAGGGCAGTGCCCTGGGCTTTTCCCCTTTTGAATATCTGGGCATTTGCCACCCTGATCTGCCTGGCCATTCAATCACCCTACACACCACTCGAAGGCTGAGACCACGTGGAGCTGCTATGCATACATTGGACATGCAGGCTTGGTTCCTGGTTGGCTTAGGAGCCTGTGCCCTGAGGCTCACACCCCCCATCCTGGGCTTCATCACCCTTTTAATTGCTACCCTCCTCCTTCTCCTAAAGAACAGGCATTCTCAGGGCAGAGACTCTGGGAACAAACAGCTGCAGGGGTGCTCGACCCTGCCTCTGTTATAGCATCTGCCACCCTGCAGCCTTCTGCACACAGGGCCACTCTCCCTGGATTCTGTCCACAGTTGATCAGTGGGTTCCTGACAGCGTGTTTTAACGTTACTAATTGCTCACATGTTTTGGCCATCCTCCACACAATTTCTTTATGTGTACATACCTTTATCTTTGACTACATTTCCCTTTCTAGTTTGTGCTTATCCTTTTAAAAGTCGATATTAGAGCGCTACTGAGAAATTTTCTTATTATTACATGGAAAACACAAAAATCAACAAATATTTCTCTTTATGCCTACTAATTTTCACATCCAAGTGATGGCAGCAGCAGGAAGTCTGGTACGGCCACTGCCATCATGCCAGCCACTGCAGGGAGGGCAAGGGGAGGAGGCAGACAGCCCCCCAACTCCAGCAGCCCGCTACGCTGGGGGCTGCCATGATGGAGCCAGGCCGGGTTGCCAGCCGGCCAGCAGGGGAGCAGCGTGACAGGAGAGCAGCATGGTCAGGCAGAGAGGGGTGCCAGTGTGGAGCTAGGGTCAGGCTTAGGGGCCCGGGTGGAAAGTGGGAGTGGTGCCCACTTCGGGGACCCAGCCAGCCCACACCAAGGGTGCTGGGCTCCTGCGCCTTGGGAGGAGGCTCTGCACAGGACACCCAGGGCAATGTCTCAGTCTGCCACCCTAAGTCAGGGTGACCACCGAGCCTGCCACTTCCCACATCCAGCCCGGACCCTTGATTAGCTCTGCCCCAGTGGGTCCTGACAGCCTTGGCAACAGGGGGAGCTCCTGTTGATGTTGCCCCTGTCCCAAATTCTGGCCTGGACCCAGTGAGGATCAGGAGCCCCTGCCTCAGGCTGTGATGAGGGGAAGGGGTTGAAGGCCACTTGCACTGGCCTTCAGGTATCCCTTGGCATGAACAGCCAGGGCACCATGGAAGGCAGCAGGGGGCAGATAGGCTCCTGGGTGGAGTGGGGGAGGGCCCCGGTAAGGTCCCACCTTCAAGCCAAGGAGGGCCTGAAGGCTGGGGGCTGGGCTACCAGACCCACAAACCAGAGTGGGGACTTGTGTTGTCTTTTTCAGGCTGCTCATGGCCACCTATGGCCCAGTTGGCTCTCATTTCCTCCCCTCTGAGGTCCATAAAAACCCTGGGTTCAGCCAGAACAGAGCAGAGGATGGAGAGACGACTGGATGACCAGCTGCAGGGAGGAGTTACTCTCTGCTGAGAGCTGGGAAGATTATAGGAGGACCAGCTGCAGAGAAGAGCTACCTTCTCCAGGGCCTCCTCTCTGCTGAGAGCTGCAGACGTAGGGACAACCAGCTGCAGAGAGGACATATCCCCTCTGCTGAGAGCTGAGTGCTCATCAGGACAACCTGCCTATAGAGAGAAGCTACCCACTAGGTCTCCTTTTAGCTGTTCTAACACTTAATAAAGCTCCTCTTCATCTTGCTCACCCTCCACATGACTGCATCCCTCATTCTTACTGGATGCAGGACAAGAACTCAGGCAAAGGTGCCACTGGCCACAGAGGTTTCTGGCCAGAAAAAGCAACACCCCAAACATCCCATATCACAAGTATATTTTGCTTGTAATTAATGTGAAAATGATTTGATTGCATTAATCATCCATCATATCATAAACATGTTCTACATTGCCCTTTTCCTTAAAGTATCAGACCTAGTGACCATGGAGCATCCTCCTGATGGATCACCCATAATTGACTCTCACTCTGTAATAACTGGATGCTCAGATTGTCTCCACTGCTGTCATGGGCAATGCTGAGGGGAAGGATCCCTGCTGCAATGATTTTGTTTCCTATGAATTCTCAAAAGAAGAATTAATCATTCAGCCAAAAGGGAAGAACCACTGTCATACTCCTGCCAAATATTCACTATTCCTTTCTAGAAGTGTAGCTTCTTCAGCCCTTTAGTGGTAGTGTGGTCTAATGCAAGTGCACAGGCTTTAAAATCAGGTGGAACTAGGATCAAATCCCAGCTCAGTCACTCACTCTTCAAGGGCAAAGAACCTTACATCTCTGAGTCTCCATTTTCTCATCTGTAAAATGGGAATAATGAAACTTATCTCATCTTGAGGATTAAGTGAGCTTGCAAGTACAAGTCCCTGGTTTATTTAGGTACTAAACCCATTATTATTAGCTTGTATATTTTCTTTCTCCTTGGAATTATTTGGTTCAAGTGGCTTTTCACTTCTCCTACCTCTCATCCATCTCAAACTCTATTCCCATGAAAGCCTCTGGCCATAAAACAAGAAGTATCATTCCTCTAAAGGCTGCTGTCCAATAGAAATATTAGAAATAGAAAGCCAGGCACAACTTCCAGCCACATGTGTAATTTCAAATTTTCTGGTAGACACATTTTAAAAATAAAAATAAATAGGTTAAATTAATGTTTAAAGTATATTTCACTTAACCCAATATATCCAAAATATTTTCACTATGTAATCAATATTTTCAGGTACTGAGGTATTTTATAATTTTTTGTTGTTAGTTTGTAACATCTTTAAAATCTGGTGTGTATTTCACACTTACAGTGCATCTCAATTCACATCGGCTACATTTCAAGTATGGCTAGTGGCTTCTGTATTGGATAACAAAGGTCTAGACTTTGATATTTAAGTTTTTAAGGAGTGCAGATACCTCAAAGGGGACTGGCAGCCAAGGGTTTAGGAGATATCATCTATCTGCATTTTGATGGTTTATAGCACTTGGAGGGAGATTACAAATGCAAGCCCCTAATTGTAAATAAAACGGGTAGCAGCTCTAAGGTGTGGCTTTAGGAACTCTGAGAAGTTCATTTTCCTTACCCTCCTACACAAGATATATTCCTTCTTTCTGCCAGTTGGCCAAGCTGCCTTGCTTGTCTACCATGAAGTTCACTGGGGTGGGGGTGGAGGGGGCCAAGCCTTCATTTCTTCACATATTGTCTAACAAGCATCTCCATCTTTGTATGACCAAACTCATATTTCTGCTTCTACTTCCACCTTCCAAATCTGCTTCTACTGCCCTCAAGCCAGCTCAGTAGGTGATAATCTCATTCTTCCTGTTACTCTGGAGTCATCTTTAGCTTCTCTCTTTCTCCCATGCTCTATACCTAAAATGTCATCAAATCCTACCCTCAAAAAAGTATCTAGAATCTGACCACTCTGACCACCTGTCATTATCTCAACTATTATCACTTTGGGGCAAGCCACCACCACCTCTAGCCTGGGTTATTGCAAAAGCCTCTGAACTGATAGTCTTGCTTCTTCCTTTGGTCTCCTACAATCTTCACATGACACCTAAAATGATTCTTGTTTAAAATGCTTGCATTTTGAACAAGAATCAGTCCAAATAGCAACAGTCCAAAAATGTATTTTAATGACAATTGACACAATATAAAAATATAAACCACTTAGGGATATGTCTAGTCAAAATATGCACTACTGCTATAAAGAAAATAGTAACATTGTATTTAAATACTTTAGAGAAGACCTAAATAAGTGGAGAGACAGACCACGTTTATGAATTGGAAAAGTCATTTTCATAAAGATATCACTTCTTTCCAAATTATATTTCCAGTCAAATCTGAACATAGTTTTTTTTTCTGTTGAAAGCCAATTCTGAAATTTATATGAATGAGTAAAATACCAAGAATTCTCAAGACAGGATGGAAGAAGAAAAGAATGGGGAGGCTCTTTCCAGATACCGAAATTTATTATAAACCTGTGGTTAACAATGTTGTCTAGCATTGTCAAAGGGTTAGACAAATTGACAGAATAGAGAACCAGGAAAGACCCCCATGCACATGACAACTCAACTCACAACAGAGCTATCATGGATCAGTGACTAAAGAATGGCCTATTAGGCCGGGTGTGGTGGCTCATGCCTGTAATCCCAGCACTTTGGGAGGCCGAGGTGGGTGGATCACCTGAGGTCAGGAGTTCAAGACCAGCCTGACCAACACAGTGAAACCCCATCCCTACTAAAAAACCCAAAAATTAGACAGATGTGGTGGCGCACGCCAGTAGTCCCAGCTACTGGAGAGGCTGAGGCAGAGGAATCGCTTGAACCTGGGAGGTGGAGGTTGCAGTGAGCTGAGATCGCACCACCGCACTCCAGCCTGGGTGACAGAACAAGAATCTGTCTCAAAAAAAAAAAAAAAAAATTAGCCAGGTGTGGTGGCATGTACCTGTAATCTCAGCTACTAGGGAGGCTGAGGCAGGATAATTGCTTGAACCTGGGAGGTGGAGGTTGCAGTGAGCCAAGATCATGCCATTGCACTCCAGCCTGGGTGACAGAGCAAGACTCCATCTCAAAAAAAAAAAAAAAAAAAAAGAATGGCCTATTAAATAAATGGTGCCAAGACTCTTGGTTATCCATATGGGAAAAGCAGAATAAAATAAAGTTTCTTCCCACCTCACGCCATACACAAAAGCCATTTCCAGGCAGACTAGAGACTTCAGTGTAAAAAGTAATATTATAACATTTTTTGAAAATAATATGAGAATAATTTTACAACCTTATAGTGGAGAATTTCTTAGATAACACATAACAAGTATAAATCATAAAGCGACAGGTGGATAAACTTATTTGAAACTAAGAAATTCAGTCATTAATAAAAACCACAGGAATATAAGGAGACAAGGCACCAACAAATGAAAAATATTTGTTATATATATAAATGACAAAAAGTAGTACCCAGAATATGTATTGAATTATGGCAAATCAATAGGATAAAAGACAGGTAACCCGATGAGAAATGGCCAAAAAATGTGAACAGGAAAAGGGACCCCAAATGGCCAATAAACATATGAAAAAGATGTCCAACCTTAGTAATTTGGTCAATGCAAATTAAAAACATGCTAAGATAGCTTTTCATTTCTACCAGATTGGCAGAAATACAGTACCAGACAATATCAAATGCTGATGAAGAAGTGGAGCAACAGAAACTTTGGTGCATTGCTGAGGGGTGGGTAAAATGAGGCAAAAACTTTGGAAAACAACGTGGTGACATCCAGTAAGGCTGACGATATGTACAACCTATGACCCACCAATTCTATTTCTAGAGTATATACCCAAGATAAATTCTTGCACACATGCCCCAAGATGCATGTACAAAAATAGTTCTAGCGGCACTGCTTATAATAGAAAAAAAAATAAACTCTTGAAATACCTAAAATGCCATCAACAGCATCTCAGATAAATATATTGAGGTACACTCATCTAATAGAATACTGTACTGCAGAAAACTTTAATTATCTACAGGTACATGCAACAATATGAAGAAATTTCAGAAACAAACTTTTGAACCAATTAGGCAAATTTTAAAAGAATATTTAATTCCATGTTTACAGAGTTCAACAACTTGCAATCATACATATATAGCGATTTAAATATGGGATGTAAAATTAGAAAAAGAAGCAAGGGAACAATAAACCCAAAATTCTGGACTGTTGCTGCTTCTGAAGAGGGAAGGTGAAAGATGGGCATGAAGAGGACCTCAGAGATGATGCTGATCTTTAAAAAAATCTAAGGTGTCAGCACACAGGGTTTATGCTGTTTTTATTACTTCTATCTTATTATGGTCTTTCTAAATTTTCTTTTCTTTCCTTCTTTTTTTTTTTTTTTTTTGGAGATGGAGTTTCATCGTGTTGTCCAGACTGGTCTTGAACTCCTGACCTCAGGTGATCTGCCCCTCTCAGCCTCCCAAAGTGCTGAGATTACAGGCGTGAACCACTGCGCCTGGCCGAAATTTTCTTTTCTTTCAACACAGAAAATCTTTCCAAGTTCATGAAAGAATAGCCCATGTGCTCAGGATGGACAGACAGGAAGGGCCTCCCTGACCTGACCCTGTTCCCTACCTCTCTGGCCAGAACCCCAGGCATGCCCCTTACCCGGCTCTGCCACACCAACCTCCACGAGGTCTCCTCCTCCAGACCCTTATCAAGAACACTTCTCAGAAACCCACAGGACTCGGCCTCCCTCACAGGTCCCCTCTCAGAAGACTAGAGCCATCCCCACCCTCCCAAGACCCCCACCCTACCTGCTATTCTCCCACCTGCTGAGCACCGTAGACCCCTGTCCGCTTTGACCAGAGCCTGGCAGGGCGTGGTTTCTCAATACCTATTTGTTAAATAACTAAATGAATGACTATACATAAACTCATATTAAAATTAGTGTGCTCCATGGAAAGGGTAATGCATAGAGCCCTTAGTTATCAAACCAGCCCCCCCACACTTTAGATGAGTTGGGACAAAGGATCGGTTTAGTGTTCTAGAAGTTTCATTTCAGGGGAAAAGAAGAATCAGTCCTTACTGAGCAGGTGGCCCTGCTTAGGCAGAAAATGCAGGCGTTTCAATGGTTTGCTGTAATAATTCAGATGAGGGAAGTGAGCCCAGGGAGGCACCTACTTACCAGAACCCAGTGGAGTAATGACAGGGCCGGGATAGACCAGCTCCCTCTGAGGCCCGTTGGAAATGGCCCTCCAACTCTGCACTCCTCAGAGGCCTATGAGGGAGCTTGGAGGGCGAGCCTCACTGTCCTGTCGGCCTGCTCTCTCCGCCCCCTCGACAACCAGGAAAGCCCGTGTCAGCCCTTCCCAGGGTTCCCTTCATAGCAGGACCCCGAGAAAGGACTTGACCTACCGTCAGAGGTCGAGGAGTGCTGCTGGAGCCCAGCCTGACTCCCAAACTTCAGCAGTGACACACACTCAGGCAGACCCAGGCCCTGGAGTGGCCCTGACCACATGGGCCCCCCACGCCACACACACTTCCTGCTCCCCAGCTCACCTCCTCTCCCACATTCACAAACCCAAACCAGGCACTGGGTCACATGTGCCCCATAGTCAGCCTCCCAGGAGGCAGCCAGTAGGCCCCACGCTGACAGGCGGCGCCCATATGCCCACCTCTAGGCTGGCCTGGCTGGGCCAAGAGCAAGGTGGCCTACCTGGAGGGGTGGCCGTCAGCGCCTGTAGACATCAGAAGGCATGGGCCCCCTATCCCCAGCTGCAGCCCCTCAGGCTCGGGGGAAGAGGACCCGGCCCCACATCGTCAGTCCTCAGCGCCGTTTCACTCTGAATCACTGGAGCTGGGTCTCTGCTCATTTCCTGGAGAAAGCAGAAGTGGAGAGCCGGCAGATGCCTGACTCTGCCCACTCTCCAGCCGACCACGGAGCTGCTGGAGTTCTGGCGGGTGACTTGGGTTCTGCAGCAAGGCCCCTTGGGGCTGGCTGTGCAGCCTCCGTGGTCAAGCGGTGCTGGTTGGGGCCAAGGACAAAATGGAAAGTACAGCCCAGCCCTAGAAGAGTAGGTCTGGATTCTGTGTCCCCTCTTCACTAGCCGTGTGACCACTGGTGCACACCTCTCCTCTCTGGGCCTCTGGCAAAATGAGAACAATGATGGTGTTAGGTGAATCTAATCAGAGGTGTGTTTAAGTGCACCCCTGGACATGGCATGGGTTGGGCAGCCCTCACCCCACCAAGCTCAGAGTTGCCCACTTGGATTTCTTCCTCCCCCATCCTCAGATAGAACTTGAACCACCAATGAGGGGAGTCCTCCTGCGGCCAACACTGAGGCAAGGATGAGAGGACATCTAAAACCATAGAATGGAAGTCTCTGAAACTCAGACTCCAAATTCTCATTCCTCTGAGTATATAAACTAGGCTGAATTATCCATGTCACCTATCCATAACGTCATCTCCACAGTACAAACAAGCATGTCCATTCACACACAATCCTGCTTGTGCTCTGTAAAAGGAGAATTTTGCCAAAGAGCAAGGGCACTTGTTAGCGCTAATGCCTGATCCTTGATCCTCAGTGCAGCTCATCGCTTGTCTCTAGCTCACAAAACCAGTGGACCATGCATGACTGACTGAGAGGCAGCAACAACATCACTTGTTATGACATGGAGTAAAGCTCCAAGATTGGTTTAAAGAGGAAAATAACATTTGTCACAAAACCTCAACCTCCACCAGTGCAAACTTGTCAGTAGACAGCAGCCAAAATAGGAGATCTATCCAGCTGCACTCCAGTCTGGACAGCAAGAGCGAAGCTCCGTCTCAAAAAAAAAAAAAAGAAAAAAAAGAAAAGAAAAGAGAAATTGAAAGGATACATGCAGTGCCAGCCAAGGGAAAGAGAAAACCTTAGAGAATTTGCAGTGAAGTGTTTGTTGTATATGATGAAAACCCCTCGTCATTGTCACCAATGAAATCATAAATAAAATCTACAAGAAGATATTGCCTGAAATCAGAGGCCTATGGTAAGAGCGGATTAGACAGAGGAACTTCCACAGAGGCAGGAAGGGTGGCCAGCATGGGACAGGCCAGGACCCCATGCCTGTGAATGCCCAGAGGAAGCGCGGAGAGTCTGTCATAGTGGGATCTCGCAAAGTCTGCTGGAGGGCCCACCTGCACCCAGGTCTCCTACCTTCTACCCACCCCAGCACCTTGCCGGGTAGCCAGCAGCAGGCAGGTAAAGAGCACTAAATTCAGAGCTAGAAACTCAAGGTTGAAATTCTCACTATCTTAACTGAGATAATTGACATCTTATTTGCAGAATGAATGAATGCCTTGTTAGAAGGAACAAATCAAATAATATTTGCAAGAGAGGTTTTTTTTTTTTGAGACGGAGTCTCGCTGTCGCCCAGGCTGGAGTGCAGTGACGCGATCTCGGCTCACTGCAGGCTCCGCCCCCCGGGGTTCACGCCATTCTCCTGCCTCAGCCTCCTGAGTAGCTGGGACTACAGGCGCCCACCACCTCGCCTGGCTAATTTTTTGTATTTTTAGTAGAGACGGGGTTTCACCGTGTTAGACAGGATGGTCTCGATCTCCCGACCTCGTGATCCGCCCATCTCGGCCTCCCAGAGTGCTGGGATTACAGGCGTAAGCCAGCGCACCCGGCCAAGAGAGTTTTTAAATACTGAAAAGGGCTGTGCAAATGCAAGCTATTATTAGTGAGAGAGTTGCCAAAGCTAAGACACTGAAGCAGCCAGGGCAACTATGAACTGCTAATGTAAATGTGTATTTTTGTTAAAGGGCAATGTAAGATTCTCTGATTTTTAAACAATTGCCCCAAAATGGCAGTTTTACTTCTGCACCCAGTTATGGTGGTGTAACTGGTATAGGACATACCCTCCCATTGAAAGCAACTATAGAATAGTTCAAATACACAAGATAATTGTTTTCAGGCATTGAATAGCAAGACTGTGATCCTTGAGATAAGGAAAACACACAAGGTGAGCCCCACAATTGCCCTGGAGTTTTTTCTAGTGATGCTTTTTCTGCTATGATGCAGGCAGGTGGGGCCCCAGAGACAGTAGTCTCCCTGAACTGAAAAGGTTTAAGTCAGAGTTCAAAGCTGCTGAAGGCTCTGGTATGTTCAGGGCAGGTTCCTGAGGAGAGTGTGCCTTGTGGGAACTCATTGTGTGTGCCCTTGGCCAAGGATTCCTATGTGTGCACAGGGTGAGACTCCAAGAGACCCAGCAGAGGTCAACTGACCCAAGGCCGAGCACTGAAGGAGGTAACAGAGAATGTGCAGTGCTTGGAATGTTGCAGTCGCATCCCATGGAGTGTGGAGAGACCTTGCTGAGCATTGTGGGACTTCACTTTACACCTCAGAGCCCTCACCCCACCAAGCTCAGAGCTGCCCTCTTGTATTCCTTCCTCCCCAATCCGCAGACCAAACTTGAAACACCAATCAGAGGAGTCCTCCTGCAGGCTAAACATGAAGGTAATGATGAGAGGAAATTTAAAACCATAAAACTCTGAAGCTCAGACTCCACACTGAAGAAGTAAGAACCACAGCCTAGAATAAAAGCCATAAAGTTGGAACAAGTTCAAAATTGAAATAAAATAGCTCCATGTGATAAGTTACTTTTATGAGTTAACTTGACTGGGCCATGAGGTGCCCAAACATTTGGCGAGACATTATTCTGGGCATGTCTGTGAGGGTATTTTTGGATGAGATGAACATTCGAATCAGTAGGCTGAGTCAAGCAGACTGTTCTCCCTAATATGCATGGGTGGTTTCCAATCGGTTGAAGACCTGAATAGAACAGAAGGCTGAGTAAGAGGACACTTTGGCTGCTTGACTCCTTGAGATGGAACATCAGTCATCTCCTGCCCTTGGACTGGAACACTTACAACACTGGCTCTTCTGATTCTCAGGCCTTTGAACTCAGACTGGACCTTACACCATTGGCTCTTCTGGGTCTCCAGTTTGTTGACTGAAGATCTTAAGACTTCTCATCCTCTATAATCATATGAGCCAATTCCTTGTAATACATAAAGAAATAAACAAACAAGAGCAGGCATGTATATATATAGATATATACACACATATACATATATATATATATATATATATATGTATATCCAATTGGTTCTGTCTCTCTGGAGGACCCTAATACAACCAAACAAAGAATAAAAGAAGCAAGACTGACAGAATTAAAAGGATATTCCAGTAATTTTTTTTGAGACGGTCTGGCTCTGTCCTCCAGGCTGGAGGGCAGTGGGGTGATCTCGGCTCACTGCAACCTCCACCTCCTGGCTTCAAGCAATTCTCATGCCTCAGCCTCCCAAGTAGCTGGGATTATAAACACGTGCCACCATGCCCAGCTGATTTTTTGTGCTTTTAATAGAGACACTGTTTCACCGTGTTGGCCAGGCTGGTCTCAAACTAATGAGCTCAAGCGATCCCATCACCTCAGCCTCCCAAAGTGCTGAGATTACAGGTGTGAGCCACTGCAGCCAAGGAATTTAACTGCCAACCAGAACAAAACTCAAGATGCTTTAAAGGAAGAAAACTTAATGCAGCCTCCTTTCAATTTAACATCCATGCTATCTAGCATAGAGTTAAAATTAGTAGAAATCTGAAAAAGCAAAAGAATGTAACCCATAACAAGAAATAAAAAACTGTCAATAGAAATAGACCCCAAGATGAACCAGATGTTGGAATTATTTCACAGGAACTTTAAAGCAGCTATCAGAAATATATTCAGGAACTTAAAAAAAAAGCAGGCAAATTTCAGCAAAAAAAAAAAAAATCGAAAATACAAGAAGATTCAAATGTAAATTCTAGAACTGAAAAGTATATCTGAAGTAAAAATTTTACTGATAGACCAACAGCAAATTGGTGGCCACAGGAAAAAAAGGGTTAATGAACTTAAAGACTTATTAATAAAAATTATACAATTTGAAGGACAGAGGGGGAAAATATTGATGAAAAAAAACAAACTCAGCTGCTCTTGGGACAATATGAAATGGTATAATATATGTGTAAATGGGGTCTCAGAGAGAGAGGAGGGCAGAAAAGCACATTTGCAGAAATGATGTTTGAAATTTCCCAGGTTTATTGAAAAACGGCAAATTGCAGACATGATAAATTTAGTAAAACTCAAGCATCACCAAGTGCAAAGAAAAAACACACTTAGCACATCATAGTCAAACATCAGAAACAAATGTATTATCTTAAAACAGTCAGAGAGCAAGAAAGCAGTCAGAAAGAAAAAAATATTACCCAAAGAGAAACAAAAATACTATTTAAGGCTGATGTTTTATCAGAAGCAGTGAATGCCATAAGAGAATAGAAAGACATCTTTAATATGCTAAAGGAAAACAACAAAAATTGTTAACCAATAATTCAATAGCCAATGAATGTCTCTGTAAAAATGAGAATAAAATACATTCATTTCAGGTGAATAAAAGCTGAGATCATTCATCTCCAGCATCCTTGCAATATAAGAAATTCTAAAGGCAGTTTTTGAAGCTGAAGGGAAAAGATGCCAGATGGAAACTTGGATCTATAGGAAAAAAAGAAAAGCACTATTAATAGCAAATGTGTGAGTAAATAAAAACAAACCATGTACTTTTCATTATTTTAACTTCTTTAAAAGACTATGACTGCTTAAAGTGAAAATTGCAGTGCTGTACTTTGGAGTTGATAGCATACGTGGATAGAATGTATTTCACAACTACAGCACCAAAGACTGAGAAATCAATGGAAGCATATTGTTGCAATCTCACATTTTACACAAAAATAGTATTTTATTTACTCTAAGTAAATTGTCATAAGGATATGTAATTTCTTCATGGCTTTGTGACAAAGATGTCAGAAAAGTAAAAGTTTAGTTCCAATCAACAAACACACACAGAGCATCTCCTCTGTGCCAGGTCCCAGGTAGGCCCTGAAGAAACAATGATGAACAGAGCAGAGCTGCTATGGAGTTTACTTCCTTGCTGCAGAGCAGTCTACACCAGTTGTTCAAGTTGGCAGGTGGTTCTCCCCCATATAGCAATTTAGGAATATTGCTCCATTGTCCCATATAGCCTTGTCGTCTGCATCCAGCCTGTAAAAAAGGAAAGGGAGTGGACAAGACAAGACATACCTCTGCCCATAAAGGCCCAGCCTCTGAGTGGTCTACATCGCTTTGGCTCACATGCTATTGTAACCACATGGCCATATCGAGCTGCAAGGAAGACTGGGAAGTGTAGACCAGCCATGGGCCAGCCTCGATCCTGTTATTAGAGAGAATGCATTTTGGTAGGCTGTCGGTCTCCACTATGATCTCTTCAGAGCACTTACCATCACTTATCAGGGCCATATACTAAAAAGTTAATACTTTTAAAAATAAATATTTTTCTGACTTTTAAAATGAAGCATGTTAATTCTAAATAGTATGTAAAAATAAAAAGAAGAAGGAATAAAATAAAACTCACTAATACCCTATGCTGAGCAATAGCATTTCAGTCTTTTTTTCCATGTTTACCAAAGTATATTTCTTTGGTCTTATTTTTTGTTCTTAACAAATGGGAATCATGCCATATATTCCCCTTCATAATTGGTTGGGTTTTTCTTTCACTTAATTCATTGCAAGCACTTCCCTACTTCATTATTACAATGTATTTTCTATACCATCTTGGGAGAAAAAAAGAAAACTATTTACACAGCAACAGGACATGTTTAACAAACCTGGAGAGAAAGCAGCTTCCTGTGTGCTGGTTGCATTTCCATATTCCCCAAGGGGATAGTAATTAACTCCAGAAAAAGAGAGAGGATCCCACCATCAGATTGTACTTTCAGGGAGATGTGAGTACTGGTGCAAATGGAAGATAAACCCACAGGACACCTGGAGCCTGCAGAAGAAATGATCAATACCACTGTTGACATCCCATGAGACTTGGAGGAAGGAGGGAGGATTGGAAAACTACAAATGAGCGAATTCTGTCATAATTTTCAAAGCTGGCCTGAAGATCCAACTCCATATTGGTAGAGTTAACATAAAACTCAAAAGGAGCCCACTGAGAAGATGAAGAACCATGAGCCATCACCAGGTGAACACAGGCCATTCAACCCATTTCAGTTGGCACTAGGATTTTCCAGGACCAAGTCCTAAGGTGTGTTTTGGAGGCACAAATAATAAATAAGAATGCTTTCCCCAAGGAGCTTTCAAGCTAAGAACAAGTCCTTGAGGCTAAGCACATTTATCTTTGGTGTGTGAGATCAAGAGTGCTGGCATCACTTTGGGTATGAGCTCCAATAAGGTGCTGGATAAGGCCTCTCATGATTTATGTATCCATGTATTCCTCTACCATCTCCACACTACCATATGCCTGGTGCTATACAAGATGCCTAGTGTGGCGAGTTCCAGTCTGTCTTTGGGGAAGTTCATAGACACCACACACACCATACAGGTCTCAGCCACCATGCACAGACTCACACCTGTCATGCCAAAATGGTTTAATTTTGGGGAAGTAAGAATAAAGAGTTGAAACTTCAGTTTAACTCTGAGTGCTTTATTTCTTCACATCAGTGATGCAGCTTTGCCAGAAATGAGGTTCTATCTACAGAGTCTCCACTTTGAGGAAGGTCCTGTGGGACCAGAGGGAGGATGTCAGTGAGCAGCAGGCTTGGAAAGGGAAGGGGAATGGCAGTATGGAAGGTGAGGGAATGTTTTGAAAAGAGATTCATGGGAAACAAAAGCCTTTCCAACAAGTGTGGCTGAAACGACATGGTTATCCATAATGAAAACAAATCAAGTCACTTTTGTTCAGAATCAATTGACCATAAATGCATGGTTTTATTTCTGCATTATCTGTACTGTTCCATTGGTCGATGTGTTTTTTTGGCAGTACCATGCTGTTCTGATTACTATAGCTTTGTAATATATTTTGAAACCAGATGGTGATGCCTCCAGCCTTGTTCTGTTCTTTTAGCTCAAGATTTGGTGTATTTTCTGGCTCCATATGAATTTTAGAAATTTTTTCCATTTCTATCAAGAATGACTTTAGAATTTTGGTAGGGATTACATTATTTCTTAGACACAAATGTTAAAAACTAAAGTTACCATGCTCCTAGGAGAAAACATAGGACAATATCTGTGCAATTTGAGAGGAGACAAAGTTTTTCTTGGACAGGTTACAGAAAGCAATAACCATAAAAGAAAAGACTGATAAATTAGACTTCATCTAAATTTAAAACTTCTTCTAATAAAAGACACTGTTAGTAAATGAAAGGCAAGTCATGGACAGGGAGAAAATATTACTGACCAAGGAAGTATCCAGAGTACATAAACAACTCTAACAAATCAATAATCAAAAGATGAACAGCCCAATAAAAGCTGAAAAAAAGACCTGAAGAGACACTTTATCTCATATATATATATCCATATGCATATCATATATATGTCTATATATCATATATACATATATATCATATATAGATATGTCTATATATCATATATATACTCATATGTCATATATACGATATATATACTTATATGTCATATATACGATATATATACTTATATGTCATATATACGATATATATATTTATATGTCATATATACGATATATATACTTATATGTCATATCGAGCTGCAAGGAAGACTGGGAAGTGTAGACCAGCCATGGGCCAGCCTCGATCCTGTTATTGATATATATGATACATATATCATATATACGTATCTCATATATATGATATATATGATATATATGTATATATGATATATATGTATATATGATATATATGTATATATATCATATGTATATGGATAAGCTTATGTATCATATATACTTATATATCATATATATCATATATACTTATATATCATATATATCATATATACTTATATATCATATATATCATATATACTTATATATCATCTATATCATATGTATCATATATATTATATATACTTATATAGATGATATATATACTTATATAGATGATATATACACTTATATATCGTATAAATGATATATACACTTATATATCGTATAGGTGATATATACACACTTATATATCGTCTAGATGATATATACACACTTATATATCGTCTAGATGATATATACACTTACATATCATCTAGATGATTATATATACACTTATATATCATCTATGATATATATACTTATATATCATCGATGATATATTTACTTATATATCATCGATGATATATATATACTTATATATCATCGATGATATATATATACTTATATATCATCGATGATATATATATACTTATATATCATCGATGATATATATATACTTATATATCATCGATGATATATATATACTTATATATCATCGATGATATATATATACTTATATATCATCGATGATATATATATACTTATATATCATCGATGATATATATATACTTATACTTATATATCATCGATGATATATATATACTTATATATCATCAATGATATATATATACTTATATATCATCGATGATATATATATACTTATATATCATCGATGATATATATATACTTATATATCATCTAGATGATATATATATACTTATATATATTCTTATATATATATCATCTAGATGATACATACACTTATATATCATATACATGATACATACACTTATATATCATATACATGATACATACACTTATATATCATATACATGATACATACACTTATATATCATATACATGATACATACACTTATATATCATATACATGATACATACACTTATATATCATATACATGATACATACACTTATATATCATATACATGATACATACACTTATATATCATATACATGATGCATACACTTATATATCATATATATGATGCATACACTTATATATCATATATATGATGCATACACTTATATATCATATATATGAGATATATACACCTATATATCATATATGAGATATATACACTTATATATCATATATATGAGATATATACACTTATATATCATATATATGAGATATGTACACCTATATATCATATATATGAGATATGTACACCTATATATCATATATATGAGATATATACGCCTATATATCATATATATGAGATATGTACACCTATATATCATATATATGAGATATGTACACCTATATATCGTATATGAGATATAGACACCTATATATCATATATATGAGATATAGACACTTATATATCATACATATGAGATATAGACACCTATATATCATATATGAGATATAGACACCTATATATCATATATATGAATATAGACACCTGTATATCATATATATGAGATATATACACCTATATATCATATATATGAGATATATACACTTATATATCATATGTATGGTATATATACACTTATATATCATATGTATGGTATATATACACTTATATATCATATGTATGGCATATATACACTTATATATCATATGTATGGCATATACACACTTATATATCATATGTATGGTATATACACACTTATATATCATATGTATGGTATATATACACTTATATATCATATGTATGGTATATTTCTCCAAATGGCTAAAAAGCACATGAAAATGTGCTCAACATTATTAATTAATAAGGAAGTGCAAACTAAAACCACACTGAGATACCTCAGCACATTCGTTTAGATGGCTAAAATTTTAAAGACTGTCAACATTAAATGTTGCAACTGGAGCAACTAGAATGCTCCTACATTGCTTACAGGAATGTATAATGATGCAACCATTTTCATAAACAATTTAACAGTTTCTTATAAAGTAAAATATATACTTATCATGTGACCCACAAATTTCACCACCAGACACAGCCAAGAAAAATGAAAACACATGTCCACACAAAGATTATGCATAAATATTCACAATGACTTTATTCATACTAACTAAAAACCAGAAACAACCCACAGATTCATTAATGGGTAATGAATAAATGAACCATGGTATATTCATACAGTGAAATTCTACTCTATAGTAAAAAAAAAAATCCAACTATTGATACACTGTTCAACATGGATTCCTCTCACAGGCATTAAGCTTGACTATAGGTGGTTGTACACAAAAAAGTCCATACTGTGATTCCATTCATATGAAATTCTCCAGCGGGCAAAATTAACCTATGGTGAAAAAAAAAATCAGAACAGCAGTTGCCCTGGGAAGGGACTATTGATTGGATAAAAGCATAAACTTTGTGAGGTGATGAAAATATTTAATATTTTCATAGGAATGTGTGTTACAATTGTGGAACAAATTTGTCAGAACCATACAGATAAGGTTTGTGCATGTCAACATGCATAAAATTGTACATTGAAAAACTATGAAAATAATTAAGTGGGGGAAGGAGTGGGCATAAATGAAACAAAAATGGCAAAATGTTAATCAAGGTTGAGGCTGGATGTTCATTATATTACTATACTCAGTTTATAGATGTTCAATTTTTTTCCATAATAAAAGTTACTTTGAAAAAAGAGAGAGAGGCTGGGCACGGTGGCTCATGCCTGTAATCCCAACACTTTGGGAGGCTGAGGCGAGTGGGTTACTTGAGATTAGGAGTTCGAAGCCAGCGTGGCCAAATTGGTGAAACCCCGTCTCTACTAAATATACAAAAAATTAGCTGGGCATGGTGGCATGCACCTGTAATTCCAGTTACTCAGGAGGCTGAGGCAGGAGAATCACTTGAATCCAGCAGTCGAAAGTTGCAGTGAGCCGAAATCGCCAGCCTGGGCAGCAGGGTGAGGCTCCATCTCAAAAATAAAAAAAAAAAAGAAAGAAAAGAGAGAGAGAATGCGAGCAAGGAGGGAAGGCTGGGTTTCTCAGAAATTAAAACATGCTCTACTTTTTTTTTTTTTTTTTTTTGAGACAGAGTTTCACTCTTGTTGCCCAGGCTGGAGTACAGTGGCACGATCTGGGCTCACTTGAAACCGCCTTCTGGTTTCAAGTGTTTCTCCTGCCTCAGCCTCCCAAGTAGCTGGGATTACAGGCACCCATCACCACGCTCGGCTAATTTTTGTGTTCTTAGTAGAGACAGGTTTTCACCATGTTGGCCAGGCTGGTCTCGAACTCCTGACCTCATGATCCGCCCGCCTCAGCCTCCCAAAGTGCTGGGATTACAGGTGTGAGCCACCATGCCTGGCCCTAAGTCTTTTATCATGGAAACAGTGTGTCACAGGAATAAACAGAGAACAACAAAACAGAATAGAAAATCCAGAAATAGCCTCAACTGTGAAAATGTATCATACAGAAAGGTGGCATCTCAAATCAGTGGGGAAAGATGGACTGTTAATAAATGATGTTGGGATAACCAGGTAGACATATACCAAAAAATAAAATTAGATCCATTTACATGACTTGATAAAAGTCAAATGAATCCACTGTTTACAAGTAACAAACAAAATCATACAAACCCCCAAAGATAAATAAATAAAGAGAATTTACAAGGCATCTAGCAGGTAATAGTGAGTAGGTGGCTCTGGGGGAGTGGCCACCCAGCAGGTCAGTCCCAAGGAGATGCTAGGCTCAAGGCTGATGAGCATGGGGAGCCTGGGTCTGGGTGGTTCCAGCAGGAAAGGACACAGCTGGCCAGCAGGGAAGGTGGCCCCAGAGGCTGCTTGGAGGCCTGGAAAACCAGGGGAGACCAAAGTAAAACACGAGTTCATTTCAGAGGTGTATCTGTGAAATGAAACTAATGACGTCGCTGCTGACAGCTTGTTGAGGGATTCAATGTGGTGGGGTGAGTAAGGAGCATAACCAAGCCTCCAGCTCTGAGATAGCTTCTGTTCATATCATTCTCTCCTTGGAGTTCGGTTTTATCATCTGTAAAGTGGGTACATCGATCCATACCTGGCAGAATCATGAAAAGCAAGTGCACAGAGCAGCTGGCCCAAAGCCTGGCACGCAAGTGGGCACACGGCAAATGTAGCTGCTGGATCACAGTCATGTCTATTCTTTGTCATTATTATCCTTTGTGCCTCTCCTCTCTGGGCTGTCTGTGGAATGGGGAGGAATCTGTTGAACTAGACGGCCCATCAGGTATCTTCCTGCTAGCACTCTGCGAGGAATCCATCTTCATTTCTGAAGGTGGCCTGGAGATTCTTCTATTTCCCTCTGGGCTGTGCAGTCAGTTAAGAGAGGATTAACCTGGGAAAAACCCGCCCACCGATATTTGAATATCTCACCTCAGCGGCCAGCGGGCGGAAGCCCCAGAGCAGCCTCCAGCACTCCCTGGCCTCTTGCTGATCGAGGTTTCTCACCAACAACCCCAGGGGCCAGTGTTGGCATCCACCCCAGCCCTGCGGAGAGAGATGCTTTCTGCTCATGCACCTCAGTTTGGCCCAGTGAACACCTGCACCACCCAAGTGCCGTGGGGTGGGATCTGGCCGGTGATGGTGATCAGGTGACTGGGTCAGTGGGGGTCAGCCCCCTAGTCAGAGCAATCGCCCAAGGCCAGGACTCCAGCTCCCAGTGAACAAACCTGGCTGTTCCCGCCACAACCAGGGAGGCACCTGGGAGAGGCCCTGCGCGGGGCAGCCTAGACGGGTCTCAGCCAGGGACAGGAGCCAGACGCTCCTGCCCCTAAGAGGGCCCCTTACAGCGGGTCATTGAGAGACTGCCCAGGGACACACAGGAGGGGGCACGCTGAGTGAGAAGACGCCAAGGGGACTATGGGCCACGCTCTCTGGGCCTGGGAGGCTGGGGCTGGTGGGGACAGAGTGCTGCGTGAGGTCGAGGTTGGCAGCCCCCTGGGAGCAGCGCGGGAAGAGGGGGTGGGGGCTTCGCTCGTGGACCTGCGAGCTTGGGCAAGGTTTGACACTTTTCCGTGGAGGAGCTTCCCTCCCGGCTCCTGCAGAGATAAATACAGGAAAGGCCTGCCTCCCTTCCTCTGGTGCAGATCCCTCGCCTGGTCTTCTCTGCTGCTTTACAGCCCCTCCCGACAGCAGCTTTTGTCAGAGGGGAAGCCCGGGCCCTGCAGGTGGGGCCGGCTCCGCGCTCCAGTGGCTGCCTCGCCCGAGCCCCTGCGGCCTCCGCTGACGCCCAACCTCGAACACGCCCCGCCAGAGCCTGTGCCCTGTGCCGTGGGCTTGGCCTCAGCCTCCACGGTGGAGAGGAGCCTTGGGGACCCTGCCCCAGGGCACCGTTCCCAGGCGGAAGGGACAGGTCCTGGTCCCGCCACCCGTTGCTGGAGCGGGGGCAAGAGGGAAAATCTTTGGAGTCATACCAGTGATCTCGGGGGCACGGAGGCTCTGTTCCCTCATCAGAAAATGAAGATCACAGCTGTTTCACAGATTTTGTTTTCATGAGAATTCAATAGAATAAGGGTGTGAAGCTGGTAGACCTGGAACAGCCCCCTTCCCGCCAGGGCCCTGCCTGAGGGCACGTCAGTGACTGCACAGTGCATTTACAGGGCCTCTAGGGCCAGAAGAGAGGGGAAGCCTTCCCTGCCCCTGCCCTGCCCTCAGTCACTGGGGAACAAAATACCCTCTCAGACAGCAATTCCTCCTTTTTGAAAGGGATTATGAGACAAGATGGGAACATTAGACATTGACTTCTTTTTGTCGGGGGAACACCACATTTTCTGGGGGAGGATACACTGGGGATATTGGATTCTCTGTCTTGATTCTCTGCTGCAGGAGAGAAGGAACCTGCCAGTGTAAGCCACTAAACTGCAGGACTCTGAGCAGGGCACTGAACTTCCTGAAGCCTTTTTTGTTTGTTTGTTTGTTTATACATGTGAGGTAATGAGAATTGAAAAATAAGAATGTACCATATGGCAAAGTGCAATGTTTAGCACTTTGTGAATTACTGTGATGTAGACAGGCACAAAATGTGGCAGCTCTCCAGTGTAACAGGAGAATTCTGCTCCCCCCCCAACCCCCCCACCCCACCCCCACCCCCCGCTGGTGGAGGGGAAGGTGAAGGGCCATGAGAACTGGACACAGGAATTAAGTGTGACTTCAGGCCTTCTGGGATGTTTCTACATATAGTGGAAATCAAAATATACTGTAAAAGGGATTACTGCAAAGTAAATAAGGTCCAGGCTGGAGGAAGCAGAAGTTGCATTTTTAATAGTAGATATTGGTTTCTTTTTACTTATAAAATAATACTTGCACCTGGAAAACAAAAGTCAGTTTATAAGAACATAAAAAGAAGTTTCCCTTTTGCCCCTGACCATTTTCCATTTGCCCAAATAATCACCAAGAGTAGTTGTTTTTAGATATTCTGATCTTCATTATAACTTCAACTAATAAACTTCTTTAGGATTTATGAATTTTTGACAATATCTTTGGGCCTTCAGACATAAAAAATAAGAAAATTAGAGTGCTTACACTATCTCCTTCTTACTCTCTTCTACTCCTGATTTGTAATTATATTTTTATTTTATCCTTCTAAATGTTGCCTTTTCAACTCTGTTCATTATATTTTACATACCTTTCAATAATTTCCTTCATGACCTTAAATAGTATATTCACTTTTTTATGTATCAAATTAAGATGGCATTCACAACTATGAAAGACAAGAATAGAGGTTGAGTATCCCTAATCCAAAATGAAAATCTGAAATGCTCCAAAATCTGAAACTTTTTGAGCCCTGAGATAATATTCACATGAAAAGCTCATTGGGCTGTGTCAGATTTCAGATTCTCAGATTAGGGATGCTCAACCAGTAAGCATGGTGCAAATATCCCCAAATCTAAAACAATCAAAAATCCAAAACATTTCTCGTTCCAAGCATTTTGTTTTGTTTAATTTTCTTTGTTTTTAATTTTTGGGTGTACATAGTAGGTATATATACTTATGGGGTACACGAGATGTTTTGATACAGGAATGCAATGTGAAATAATCACATCATGGAGAATGGGGTACCCATCCCCTCAAGCATTTATCCTTTGTGTTACAAACCCAAGCGTTTTGGATAAAGGACATTCAATCTGTACTGATGTAGTTATTCTTCCTCCCTTGCTCCTCCCCATCTTTTGTTTTCTATATTATTATTTTTATATCATCATGGTTTAAAATATTTGTATTAGCTAACTAAAAGTGTCTTACTTGCTTTGTTTATAGGTCAACTCTAAAAACTAGAAAGCAAATATATAGCATTGACAATATTGTGATTTCAAAGATAATATTCACAGTAGAATTGAAATTCTATGTGGTTGATCCAGAAAGAAGAAAGATACTTCTGTGCCATTAAAACTAAAATTAAATTATATAAACATATAATTTAATAACTTATGTTATTATACAAAGGTAATTAATACTCAAAATGCACCACTCTATTACATTTTGCTGTTACCTAAATAGGCGAGGCACGCCTGTAGTTCTGAGTGGTGGAAACCCTCTATCCTGGTGGCTACTGCATGTTCCTTCCCAACTCTGCATGTAGGGATGTCATGTTGGTAGCTTCCAATTGTCCACAGAGGGAGAATTTACACCATGGAAATTGGAAAACCCTACAAACAAGGGCTTGGTTTATTGTTTTGTTCGTTAGACTTCAGAAAAGGGAGGTTAATAATGTAGATTAAACTTAAATTGTGCTATGTCTATAGCCCTTGCATTGTGAATAGTGCAAAGATTGAGATAATATTTTTCCCATATTTGAAAACTATTATCCAAGTAAACAAAGTCACTCACACCCGTTGACAAATGAGTGAAGTTCCAATATAAGCTAGTGCTGAATCTGAAAGTGGCTGCAGGATAATCAATATAGTTTGTATGGGAAGGAGACATCACTTAGCAGCAGATTACACATCAGATTTCATGACTATAAATGTATTAGATAAAGTGCTGTGGATTGGAATGCAACTCCATTTGTCAAATAATGGTTAAATTGAGACCATAGATTGGCTAGGGATACCAATGTTTGGCAAAAATCAGTGAAAGCATTCTGTTAGAATCAATCAACTATAAGGAATTTACAACATAGAGTATTGCCTGTTTTATTATTATTATTTGTAAAGTGTTCATTACACATCCTTTATAGCAGTAAAATTTATAACAATCATAAATATGTATATATATATATATATTTATATTCTTTTTTTTAGGGGTGGGTTAAGCATTTACCAGCACACCACTATATCAGAGGTTTGTCTGATCTTACCACTACCTCACATAAGAGAGTAGGAGGAAATGAAGAGGAATGCTTCTTCCTCCCTGGCTCTGGGGCCAATAGGGTCCCAGGGGTTTTCAGACTCATTGGTAACATAAGAAGGACTCATCACCAGAGAAGCAGGGTGAGAAGCAGCTGGTAGGGCAGGTTATTTCCAGAGCCTCTGCATCTATAAATAGGGGTTGTAGGACCCTCCCTGCCTGCCCTCATGAGCAGTTGCGACATTTGGGATGACATCAGGCCCAGGGAAGGCAAAACAGTGGCAATATTTGCTTCTTAAGGAGGAGTCCCCATCCCCACCACCAAATACCAAGAAGACGTGTGGCTCAAATGACCCATGCCACCCACCCGCAGCAGGGCCTACCAAAAGCTAGCCCAATTCTGAGGTATGGGGAAGGGCAGGGAGGTGAAGCCACTTCTGCTTTTTGCCCTCGTCTGCTGAAGGACCAGCCCAGGGGGCACATTTGAATTCTCAAACCTTAGCCGCAGATTCACTTCAAGTTTTGAGAAGAAATTCACGGGCAGTTTCATTATAACTGGCTGGGTCCTCTGCAGAAGTGCCTCTCTGTGCTTCCGGAGAAACTGTGAAATGTGGGGATAATTGCTGTAAATATTGATGGGCGTAACTTTGTCACCCACCAAGATCAATTGCCTTTTGCTTCCAGAAATTTCTTGTGAAAAACCCCAAAATTAAAATATTTGTTATTTACCCTTCTGTGAATTTATCCTAAGAAAATGATCCAACATTGAGAAGGCTTCTTATACATTTGCTTCAAACCTTTTTTTTTTTTTTTTTTTGAGGCGGAGTCTTGCTCTGTCGCCCAGGCTGGAGTGCAGGGCGCGATCTCGGCTTACTGCAAGCTCTGCCTCCAGGGTTCATGCCATTCTCCTGCCTCAGCCTCCCAAGTAGCTGGGACTACAGGTACCCACCTCCCCGCCTGGTTAATTTTTTGTATTTTTAGTAGAGACGGGGTTTCACGGTGTTAGCCAGGACGGTCTTGATCTCCTGACCTGGCCATCTGCCCGCCTCGGTCTCCCAAAGTGCTGGGATTACATGAGTGAGCCACCACACCCGGCCTTCAAACCATTTTTTAAATGATAGAAGAATATGGGCCCATAAATAAACACAAAAGTAACTCCTCATGTGGAAAAGTGCTCTCTGCATATTGGAAATAATCTGAAGTGTTCAATCTTAGACTTTAAAGTAACATGGTATACAGTGAGTAATATGCTGTTTCAGACATCATTTTTAATACCGTAAGGATATGCTTAATTTATAATGTTAAGTTAGAAAGCAGGTGAGCAGTCTGGCTGCAGGCACCGGCTCTGGGGTTGAAGTGCCTGGGTGGGAGTCCTGCCTCTGTGCCTTACTGGCTGCCTGACCTTCAGTTCTGTAAGCCTCGGCTTCCTCATCTATCCAATGGGTACTACAGCAGTAGCCTTCTTTCTGAGTGGTTTCAAGGGAAGCAGTGGAATGGCTCCCAGCACCCAGCACATAGTGAGTCTTCAACATTATTTATAACCAGCTTTGTCACTGCATCCATGGCAAATCAATCCACTGACAAAACGCTGGAGAGAAATGCTACAAACTGCCCAGTCTTAGTATCTGAAGCAGTTAAAATAATACAGGGAAGAGATCTTACTGTGTGGAAATCTCATGAAATGAACAGCATACTCACTGCTAAAGGAGACTTGTGGCTGTCAGCTAACCATTTACTTAAATATCAGGCTCTATTACTTGAAGGGCCAGTGCTGCAACTGCGCACTTGTGCAACTCTTAATCCAGCCACATATGTCCCAGACAATGAAGAAAAGATAGAACATAACTGTCAACAAGTAATCGCTCAAACCTATGCCACTTGAGGGGACCTTTTAGAGGTTCCCTTGACTGATCCCAACCTCAACTTGTATACTGGTGGAAGTCCCTTTGTAGAAAAAGGACTTTGAAAAGCAGGGGTTGCAGTGGTCAGTAATAAAGGAATACTTGAAAGTAATCCCCTCACTCCAGGAACTAGTGCTCAGCTGGCAGAACTAATAACCCTCACTCGGGCACTAGAATTAGGAGAAGGGAAAAGGGTAAATATATATACAGACTCTAAGTCTGCTTACCTAGTCCTCCATGCCCATGCAGCAATATGGAGAGAAAGGGAATTCCTAATTTCCGAGGGAACACCTATAGAACATCAGGAAGCCATTAGGAGATTACTATTGGCTATACAGAAACCTAAAGAGGTGGCAGTCTTACACTGTTGGGGTCACCAGAAAGGAAAGGAAAGGGAAATAGAAAGGAACCGCCAAGCGGATCTTAAAGTCAAAAGAGCCGCAAGGCAGGACCCTCCATTAGAAATGCTTATGGAAGGGCCCCTAGTACAGGGTAATCCCCTCCGGGAAACCAAGCCCCAGTATTCAGCAGGAAAAATAGAATAAGGAACCTCACAAGGACATACTTTCCTCCCCTCCAGATGGCTAGCCACTGAAGAAGGAAAAATACTTTTGCCTGGAGCTAACCAATAAAATTACTTAAAAGCCTTCACCAAACCTTCCACTTAGGCATCGATAGCACCCATCAGATGGCCAAATTATTATTTACTGAACCAGGCCTTTTCAAAACTATCAAGCAGATAGTCAGGGCCTGTGAAGTGTGCCAAAGAAGTAATCCCCTGCACTGCAGGCCATACATTTCAATCCCTGTATCTTTAACCGCCTTGTTAAGTTTGTGTCTTCCAGAATTAAAACTGTAAAACTACAAATCGTTCTTCAAATGGAACCCCAGATGCAGTCCATGTCTAAGATCTCCCGCGGACCCCTAGACTGGCCTGCTAGCCCATGCTCTGGTGTTAATGACATCGAAGTCACTCCTCCTGAGGAAATCTCAACTGCACAACCCCTACTATGCCCCAGTTCAGCAGGAAGCAGTTAGAGTGGTCATCAGCCAACCTCACCAACAGCACTTGGGTTTTCCTGTTGAGAGAGGGGACTGAGAGACAGGACTAGCTGGATTTCCTAGGCCGATTAAGAATCCCTAAACCTAGCTGGGAAGGTGACCGCATCCACCTTTAAACACGGGGCTTGCAACTTAGCTCACACCCAACCAATCAGAGAGCTCACTAAAATGCTAATTAGGCAAAAACAGGAGGTAAAGAAATAGCCAATCATCTATTGCCTGAGAGCACAGTGGGAGGGACAAGGATTGCAATATAAACCCAGGCATTCGAGCCAGCAACGGCAACCGCCTTTGGGTCCCTTCCCTTTGTATGGGAGCTCTGTTTTCACTCTATTTCACTCTATTAAATCTTGCAACTGAAAAAAAAAAAAAAACTGCCCCCAGTAGTTGTTGCTGGGTGGTGGCACTGGGGGAGATTTCAGTCCTTGATCCTGCCTTTGTGGGATAGGATTCTCCCTCCCTCCTAGTCCTCTACAGTCCCCTACACTTTTCCTATTGCTCATCCATTCTGCAAATTGCTCTGTTATAATTTCCTCCTTGCCATTTTGATTAGTGAGCTCTTGAGTCAGGGAATTTTTCTTGTTTATCTCCATAGCCATAGCCCCTAGTACAGACCTAAGAAATAGTAGGTGCTCAATCAAACATTTAACAGTCAAGTTTTCCCAAGCTTTATTGAGGAGTGTTTCAGATATCTGCTGCTACATAACAAAATATGGTGGTTTGAAATAACAACTACTTATTATTTCTCACAATTCTGTGGGACAGGAAGCAGGCAGGGCTTGGCTGGGGGGTTCTTCTGCTCCACACAGCATGGACTGAGAGCCACCTGGCTGCATTCACTAGGGGGCTGGGAGCTCGAATATCCAAGGGAAGCTTTATTCACAAGACTGGTGCCTCAGTGCTCTTCCTTTGCAGACTCTCTTTCCCTCCATGCCCTCTCATCATTCGTTAGACAGTGCAAATCTTATAAAATATGACAGCTTGGCTTCCAGAGAGAAAGACAGTGAAGCTTCCAGGCTTCTTAGGGTCTACATGCAGAACTACTGTAGCATCATTTCCACCTCTTGGCAGGAGGAAGGGCATGAGCACACTGACAGGGAAGGGATTTGGAGGGCCATCTCTAAAGAAACTAATGCTTGATAAATTTTTTAAAAAACAAGAAGAAAGCATTTTCCAAAAGTAACACTAGGATAAGCTGGTCTGGAAGCAGCATTGGTTGAAGTCTTTGCCCTTGCATTTCAGAGTGGCACGGAGTCCAAGGCATAACTGCAGTAGCAGATCCCTGGCCCAGGAGCAGCAAACCCAGAAGTCTCCCTGCAGCGAGGTTGTGCTCTACTTCACAGGGAGAGACCACAGAGCTGGGCTCCCAGTGGACCCACAGAGAATCCTGTGCAGCTCATTTCCCCAAAAGCTTCTGAGCCCCAGCATCTGTGTGCTATTCCTGAGTGGAAAGACCAAGGTGAGCAAGGCAGCCTCCATATGCTCTGACAGCTCAGCCTGCTGGAGGGTAAGGTGTAAACCTGGTGACACATGGCCATGGAGTCAGCAGTGACTTCATACCCACATAAGAACTAAGATGCTACCTGTCCAGGAAACCAAGGAGGGCCCTATCTTGGACTCTACACTTTGAGGGCCCATGAGAACCCAAACAGCACACATCTATTCATGGATGTATGGAATGGGCACCTCTGTTCCTCGAGAGGTGTGCCCAGTGCTGCCCTGCATGACCCATGGCCCTGACCCTGCACACCTGCTCACTGGACTGGCATTGTCCAGCACCTCATCTCTTGCCCTATGTATGTCCTCAAAAGAAAATGTGATTGGATCCAAATGTTATGGATTTGGCTTGCAGGATCAGCTTAGGTTTATGGGTTGTGCCATTGCCAGCAGGAACATTGCTTCCATGTCTAGGAGGAATTGAACGTGGAAGCAATAGGAAAAAAATCTAAACTTCCAGAGGCTTCCTCTCAGATCACCTAAATGTAGTAGGTTCTCCATAAGAAATCTCATCTCTGAATAGTGCCAGACATGTATTTTTTTTTCTGCTCTTTGAGTTCAAATTCATAGTTTCATAGGTACTTATATATCATTGCAAAATTCACAATGGTTCTTCATTGCAGCCTGGAAATATTTCATGCTATTAAACAGCTCACTCCCTCTTAGATGCATATGTGTTGTTCTGGATGTATAATGTCACTTGCGTGAAGTATGACATAGATTCTTCATAGCACCCACTAGATGCAAAACAAACACCAGAAATGCTAACAGTTTAATTTTTAGATTTATTTTTTATTTTTAAAATCACAATAAGAATTTAATTTTATCAAATAATGTTTTTTAATTTTTTGTATTCTTTAATTATCATATACATTTTGCTTTTTGATTTTTTAGAGAAATCTTTAAAACTGTAGTAATAATAACATGCATTGGCACAGTTTCAACATCCTAACAAGACCTATCTATGTGTACACATGTTAGACTGGTAATGTATATTGTTGCCACTAGTGAGTACCTACTCTTTTGCAGATTCACAGGAAGTTGCAAAAATAATCAAAGAGGTCCCAGATCCCCTTGACTCAGTGTCTCTCAGTGATTCTATCTTACATAACTTAGTACAATATCAAAACCAGGGAACTGGCATTGATGCAATGTCTATCACTCCAGTTGTATTACATGCAGATTTATGTAACCACCAGGGTGCAGAACTATCCTGTGGCTGTAAGCTATCCCTCATGCTGTCCCTTGTAGTCACACCTGCCTTCTGCCCCATTTGTCCCTAACCCCTGGCCACCTCTCATCTGCTCTCCAACTCATTTAGAGAATGTTATATACATGAAATAATGCAGCCTATGTCCTTTTGGGACTGGCTTTTTTCGCTAAACGTAATGTCCTTGAGATCCACCCAAGTGGCTGCAAGCATTCATAGTCCTTTCCTTTTCATTGCTAGATAGAATCCATGGCATGGCTGTGCACAGGGTGTTTAACCATTCACCTGTTTAACCATCTTGACTGTTTCCAGTTTGAGGCTATTACAAATAAAGCTGCTTTAGAAGCCTCCCCTCACTCATCCTCACACCATGTGTGTTGGTTGGAACTGATTCCACCCTCAGCAGTGGGATGGATGCATGACCAAGGCCCACCATATGAGACTGTTCCCTGCCCCAGCTGCAACGATGGGTTCAGGTCTGTGCACATGATCCATGATGGTCCATTCAGAGGTCATCTCAAGGGTTTTGCTAAAACCATTAGGTTTTTTTTTTTTTTAACCAAAAATGTCTTGAAAAATTACAGTCAGCCCCTCTGGGCCTTGCAGTCCTCAGCTATGAAATAAGGATAAAAATCCCTGTGCTAACAGGTTAGTATGTATTTGTTCATTCAACAAACTAAGAAGTGTTTACTGGACCGGGCGCGGTGGCTCACACCTGTAATCCCAGCATTTTGGGAGGCCAAGGCGGGCGGATCTCGAGGTCAGGAGATCGAGACCATCCTGGATAACACAGTGAAACTCCGTCTCTACTAAAAATACAAAAAATTAGCCGGGCGTGGTGGTGGGCGCCTGTAGTCCCAGCTACTTGGGAGGCTGAGGCAGGAGAATGGCGTGAACCCAGGAGGCAGAGCTTGCAGTGAGCGGAAATCACGCCCCTGCACTCCAGCCTGGGGAACAGAGTGAGACTCCGTCTAGAAAAAGAAAAAAAAAAAAAAGAAGAAGTGTTTACTGAAGAAGTGTGGGGGAGCATTTCAAGAAGTGGGGAGCATTTCAAGAAGTGGGAAGCAGGTACAAAAGCCCTGGGGCAAGAAAGGAGTTGAGTGGCCAGTATGCTGAAAGCATAAATGCCAACAAGGTGGCAGTGGCAGGGTAGGGGGATTGAGCATGAACAGGACCAAGATAAACTAGAGAAACAGGCAAGGACCTCTCAGGGAGGGCCTTCTAAGATCCAGCAGGAAGTTTGGACTTGAGGCTCAACATGATGAGAAGCCATTGAGGTGTTTATGCAGGGAAATGGCATGCCCCAATTTACATTTTACTGCTGCATGGAGAATGGCCTGGGGACAATAGAGCATGCATAGAAGCCAGTGCAGAGGCTCTTGAATGAGGCCAAGCAAGAATGGCAGTGGCACATCTAGGGTGGTAATAGTGGAAAGAGAGAAAAAAGGATGGACTTGGGTTGTATCTTGGAAATAGAAGTGACTACAAGGCTTACAGAATAAGTCATCAGATAAACTCAAGAATGACCCCTACATCTTTTGCTTAAAGTTAACGTGGGTGGCAACATTTATTGGCATGGAGAGGAGAAACAAGCTTGGGACAGATTGGAGCATATGTTTCGAACGTGTTACGTGTGAGATGCCATAGGGTGAGGGTAACGGAGCAGTCAGAAAAGGATGCCTGTAGCTTAGAGGTGAGCTCTAGTCTCGAGACTGAGACTCATCAGCACAGATGGTGTTTTAAAACTGTAGGAATGGATAAGATTACCTGGGAGAGAAAAGGCTCAAGTCTAAGACCTGGGAACCCTCAACAGTTAGAAATTGTGTAGAACATTGAGAACCCATTTCCCCTTCAAAGCTAAATTTAGGAGAGAAAATAAAAGCTGAACTGTCATCACATGCTATCTTTTTCTTAATTCTTTAGTTAAATTTTCAGTTAATTAATTTACAACCTTTCTTATTTTCTAATGTACACATTTAATGCCATAAATTTCCTTCAAAGTACCATGTTAGCTGTGTACAACAAGTCTTAAATTGTGGTTCTATGTTGCATTTGATTCTAAATATTTTGTAATTTCTATTCCAATATCTCCTTTTAGACACAAATTACAATGTATTTTTCGGTGTTTAGATGTATGATTTTTAGATGTATGTTTTTTAGTCTTCTTATTGTTGTATAATTTTATTATATCAAGGTTAGACAACATTGAGTAATATTGATTCTTTAGTGTTTATTTATTGAACCCTCTTGTGAAGTGGTACATGGTCAATTTCTATAAATATTCCATGGGTACAGGCTTCTACATGTATCTATTATATTAGGTTTTCTTAATGCATTGTTCAAAATCTCTTTCTCTACTAATTTGTTGCTAGTGTTCTACTTGGTCTATCAGTTTCTGAGAGTGTTATCATAAAATTTCCACTAAGATTGTGAATTTTCAAATTCTTCACATTATGTCACAGACTTTTATTTGTTTTCTTTCCTTCCAGGCTATGTTGCTAGGTGTATATAGGCTCAAGATTGTTGTATCTCTATGAATTGTTTCTTTTATAATCTTGCAATGACAATCTTTATCCCTAATAAAGATTTTCCTTAGTCTGTCTTGTCCATATTAATATGAGTTCACTACACTAGTTTTATTTTAATTCCTATTTGTCTCACATATCTTTTTCCATTCATTTATTTTCAACATTTCTGTGTTCTTATATTTTAGATGTCTCTTCACAAGCAGCTACAACTGGATTTTTAAAAATTCCAACCTAAGTACTTCTGTCTTTTAATGTGTGAGATTAATCTGTTTACATTTACTACTGTTACTGATAAATTTATGGCATTTATACCTATTTTTATCTTCTTCTTTTGTGTTTCTATTTATCATAATTTTTGTTTTATTGTTTTCTCACTTCCCCTTCTGTTGAATTGATCGGGATTTTTTTTGTATGCAGCCCCCTCTACTGGTTTAGAAGTTATATATTCTACTTCTATTCTTTGCTTGTTATTCTTAACATTTTTAACATGAATACTTTACTTTTAAATGCCTACCACTGCACTATCCAATACAGTAGGGCCACTAATCACATTTGAAATTAGATCAACCGAGCACTTAAATGTTCAATTTTATTTAATCTTAATTTAGAAATTGATACACAATCCAATTACTAAAAACGCATGTTTAGAACAACTTGAAAATCTTTTTTTAACTCTAAATTTTGTAAACTCTAAATACAGATAAAATATTTGCAGCAGAAATTTAGTATCCAAATTGGAATATGCTATAAATGTAAAATATGCACCGGATTTGAAAGAGTTGGTATAAAAAAAGGAATACAAAATGTTTCAATAAATAATATTTATAAATGATTATATGTGGAAATGATAGTATTTTGCATATATTGCCCTAAATAAAATATGTTATTAAACCAATTTCACCTGTTTCTTTTTTAATATGGCTACCAGAAAGCGTTTAATTATAGACGTGGTTCAAACTATATCCCTGTTGGACAGCGCTGACCCGGAGTAAAAACCGCAAGTGCCCAGGAGCCTTAATGTCCCGATTCTCCCCAGTCTTCTCTTCCAGGTGACTGTGTTCAGTGTTAGTTACTGTATGGTATGAATATTCGTTCCACCTCATCCTTAACACTTCCACCTTGGTTACTCCTCACTCACGCAGCATGGTGCTCTGGTTTACCAAAATGTTTGCCAGTTTCTCGGTCATCTCTGCACCCAGCTTCCCGTGCCTCCTTCATAGGTCAGCTCTCTTATTCCAGTTTCCGAGGCCACGCTGCAGGCTGCATTCTCTCCCAGTGTCACCGAGTACCCAGGCCCTGGACAGAGACCCCCTGCCATGGTGCCACGGACTCCACGCCTGCTCCACTGTGGCTCCTCCAGCTGAGGGGGGCTGCCATGTGCAGGAGCCACAGGAGGCTGGCCCAGCCCGAGTGCAGACAGGAAAGGGCACTCCAGGGACGCACTCGGCTCAGCTCCACACCCTCCATGTCCCTGTGGCTCCAATTCATAGTGGGAATAGGGATGGGGCAGCACCTCGTCCATCCCCTTAATCCCCTCCCAGAAAGTACATCCGTTTATTCCGGCCACAGCCTCTGGATCAGAATAGGGGCTTTAGCGTCCCCGTGGTGTAGGCCCCACCTGACCAGGGCTGAGGTCAAAGCATCACCCTCTCTCCTGGGGTGTCAGGGAGCCGCTCCCCAACTCTGGTCCTCACAGACATGTCCCAGTCCGGTGGCCCAGGGCCGGGACCAGGGTGAGGGGAGAGGGGCGCTCATTGCCCCTTAAAATTTGCACCCAAGATAACTCACTTGCCTCACCCTGTTCCCAGCTGTGTACCCACAGAAGCATGTATTTCCTGTGAGTGTTACACAGGTGACTCCCCTGGACGTCCTGAAGCGGACAGAGCCCCTCTTCAGGACATCCTCTGTCCCCGTGCTGGTCATTGCCGCTGGAAAACCCAACAGCTCAAGTAGTGTGCTGAGGGCGCCACCTCGTGGCTTCAACTCTCAACTGCAGACAGGATTACTCTACTTTTGTGAATCAGCTCCAGGTTTCTTCTTCCAGTAATGTGACCCTTTTCAAAAAGAAGGTGGAAACGATCCCTAGGTTCCGGCATTGACTGGCTTAAATATTTAAGCACGTGAAACAACAGATAGCCCTGCAATGCTTATAACAACTAGAAAAAAACAAACAACGTCGCTACGTAAAAACAAAAGTACCCTAAGAACTCTAATTAAACATGATCTGCAGTGTGGTTCTGGCAGAATTTGACCACTGGCGTAGGATGATGGCTCAGTGAGCGGAGATTTCCAGAAGACCCTCTTGGCCAACCTCATTTCCAGGAGCTTCCAAAACACTAGATCCCTAGACACGACCCTAGTTTCATGGAAGCCAGGTAGCTCACTGATGAGGACGGATTCCCAACTGCTGACTAGGGTTGTAGGTCCCCCTCAGCCACCTGGGAGGACAGAGGAAGGGCCCAAAGGGAAGCCACTCCTGGGAGCCTCACCCCACCAGGGTCTAACTAAATATTAAAGGCAGTCGTGTTCGCTGTTCCTTGTCGCCAACTTGATTTTAAACACTCAGGTAAACTCAGGCACTAGGTCACCTGGGAGTATTTGATTATAAGGTGTTCATCCCAATGGCTTATATTTTAATTTATCATGTAAATTTAAATGCAGAATATCTTTCAATGTGTGAGAAACCTGGTTTGAGAAGCAAACACTGCCCTACCTTCTGCTGCTGCTAATGATGGACGAAGCAGAAGACACAAGCACTTCCAGGGCCCCTGCTAAAGGTTGCAGCTGGAACACACCATCCTGGCCATGGGCATGAGCATGGTGTACTTAATGCGAGCTGGGCACTTAGTTAAGTGCTCTGCCTGACTTTCCTCGCTTCATTCTCTAACAGACCCAGGGATTCAGCAGTATTACTATCCTCACTTTATACATGAGGAAGGGGGCTCAGGCTCTCTGAGCCCCCTAGAGACCCGGCTAAGAAGTGTCCGAGGCAGGAGTCAAACTCCATTCTCTGGCTCCTGAGTTCTGTTCTTTCCACCGAAGTTCGTGCCTCCTCCCCCAGCAAGCCTGGAGAGTGAGTGAGCCCTCACCAGGGCACAGACAGAGAAGGTCTGGCACACTCTTTTCAATGGAGCCCCCTATAGCTGTGGAGACTGACGGGGTCCAAGAACAGGACGCTATGACCTTGCTTCTCAGGCGCCCTGAGCTCTGGTGCTGTGGCAGACGTGTGCCTCCTTACCTCTGCCAGCTCCCACTCTCCACCACGGTCACCCTGCCCCACACCCGGGGTCTCCAGGGGCAGGCAGGTTACCACAATGCTTCGGGTGAGTGATGGCCCTGAGGCTGGACTGACCCAGCTCTACCCAAAGGCTGAATCAGGCTCTCCAAGGCTATCAGCCCATGGCTAACCACCCTGCCTTGGTCAAGGACAAGAGTGCAGGTGATTCCAGGTGAACCTTGACGCTGAACCCAGGTGAGCACGAGGCCACTCCACTCTCGGGGAAGGATCTCTCTGCCCAACACAGACTCTGGAAGCCAGTTCAACAAGAGCCACCTGCCTGCTTCCTCTGCTTTGACTTTCAAATGCCAGCCATGCTGCGTGTGGCTCTGGGACCTTGGGGAATGCGCTGACCCTTTGTGACCGTAGTTTCCCAGTCTACGGGCGGTGTAGGCGCCTTGGGAAGTAGCTCCGATCCCCCTCGGCAACCTCAGGGCTCCTCCCCTGCTAGTGATTTCTCCAGCCCCCACTCTCTCCCCATACTTAAGACACAGAACTGGGCCAGCTATGCAGAATTCACCTGCTCCGAGGAAGACTCAGTATAGAAAACCCTCTAAATCCCACACGCCCTGCCAACAGCACAGGGCGCACAGGACGGTGAGCTACAGATGAGGCTCGGGCGAGATGAGGTTGGGTAACCGGAAGCCAGGCGGGAAGGCGCAGCGAGCGGTCCGGGCACGCAGGAGGCCGCCTCCCCGAGGCCCGCCAGGGGGCGCCGTGCACCAGGGCCCAGGAAGTCGCCTCCGCCCGTGGCGCCACCCGCGCTGCCCGGCAGGGGTCAGCCTCGCCCGGCCATCCCCGACCCGGCTGCTGCACCCTTCTGACTCGCTGGGACCGCCCGCTGCGCCGCATCCCCCCCCCCCGCCCCCCCCCCCCCAGAGGCGCCGAGCAGCCGGGAGCTCCGTCCTGCCTGAGGATGCGGGGCCCAGGCTGCATCCCCCCGGCCCTGCTCGCCTGCTCATCACACGGAGGCCGGGGACAGGGTCACGGCCAGGGAGCCTGCGGGGCTAAAGGAGCGGGCCGGGAGCTCAAGAGCTGCCGCCGGGCGGCGAGGAAGGAGCCCCAGGCAGGCCCCGGGCGGCCGAGGCAGGGGAGGAGACGGCTGGCCCTGGTTCCAGGTGAGCAGCCCCGCCCGCTCTGCTGGAGGCCCCGCTTACCACCGGCGGGAGATGCGGGTGCAAGCCCTGGGGCGCACGTGGCCAGGCCACTGCCACGCCCGAGGGACGGGTTTTCGTCGCCACCTCGGCCCTGGTGAACCCTGTGACTGGAGTGCCTCCCAATCCCACCGTGATGCCCACCTCGGGGCGCTGCCAGGTGCCAGGCTAATGCGTGTGATCCACAGTGTGCTGAGAAGTGCTGACTGTCATTGTGAATGTCCGTGGTGGGGTGACGCCCGGGCAGGGTGCACTGGCCTGGTTCCAGAAGACCTGGCCTCTCCAGCTCCCACGGCGCGCCCGTTTGCTGCGTGGCCCATGCTGCTGGCGGCTGCTCCTGGCTGAGTCATTCCAAGACGAGCGTCCAGTCCGCGCTCTCTGCCGCCCTTCCCAGCGCTGCCCGGCAGGCCCCGGGAACTGTGCCCAGCTGTGCCCGCTTAGCTGGTGTATGACCTGCCTTTGAACTTGCTGCAAAGAAAGGTGGGTGAGGGAAAGGCGAGGGCTGGGGTGAGGGACTGGAGAGCAGTCTCCTGTCCCTTCTCCCCCTGAGGTCACTGTCCTCCAGCTGGTGGGCAGAACTCTGTCCCAAAGCCTTCCAAAGGAGAGGCCCACGCTGTAGGACCTTGTCCCCACTATAGGCTGAGGTTGGTAAAGGTCACAGAGGTGGTTCCTGATAAAAATTCCCTAACCAGAGGTCTCCTGATGCAGCGTCCCCCGCCCCCCCCCCCCCCCACACACACACACACATCCACTCTCCATGGTGTGGGTGGAGGTCAGTGAGGAGAAGGGACCTTCCCCGGGCACACACGGGCCAGTTCGTGGGAGGGGCCTGAGACAGGAAGGAGATTGAGTCACCGAGCTGGCCAAGAGGAAAGAGAAGAGAAGAGAAGAGAAGAGAAGAGAAGAGAAGAGAAGAGAAGGAGGGAAGGAAGGAGAAAGAAAGAAAGAAAGAAAGAATGAAAGAAAGAAAGAAAGAAAGAGAAAGAAAGAGAGAGAGGAAGGGAGGAAGGATGGAAGGAAGGAAGGAAGGAGAAAGAGAGAAAGAAAGAGAGAGAGAAACAGAGAGAAAGGGAGAAAGGGAGGAAGGGAGGAGAGAAAAGAAAGAGAAAGAAAGAAAGAAGGAAAGAAAGAGAAAGAAAAGAGAGAGGAAGGAAGGAAGGAAGAAAGAAAGAAAGAAAGAAAGAAAGAAAGAAAGAAAGAAAGAAAGAAAGAAAGTAATCAGCATGTCCAAGGAGAGGAACTAACATTCCCCCTCTCCCTCTGTCTCTCTCTCCCTCTCTCTCCTCTCATACAGCACACACTTAAACACACACACCACACCAGCGGGGCAGTCTCATGTATCTTATCCTTAGGGCAACCTCACTGTGGGCACTGTATTTTGAACCCCTTCTCCCCAACCTTGGTTGCAGTGCCTGGCATCCACTCTAGCAACCACCTCTTTTCCATACCAGCTGAGGTGGCTTTTACGAAGCCAAGCCACCCTATTCCTGGGATGAGACCAGGTTGGCTTTAGCCAATCAGCACATTGCATTGGTTTGGGTGGTTCAGGGATGGGTGAGTGGACCAACCAAGGCCATGAGGCAAGAAGAGATGTTTGGGAGAGTAGGGAGGGGCAGCTTCCCAGCACTTCTGAGAGAGACACTGGAAGATAGGCTCTTTCTTTGTGTTGGTCATGAAAGAAAGAGTATTAGTTCCTGAAGCGAGCTGGTGTCCAGCATTTTTTAATAATGAGGGGACTTTGTTGAGAATGAAGCAGGCATTCCAGAAGCAAACAGGAGAACTGGAAAAAAAAACCCAGACTTGGTTAACATTGTCAAGCTGCTGGATCCAGCCATGCCTGAAGTCCATATTATGAGGGCTTTCCTGCTCAAGGAGCCAATAAATCCCCTCTTTTTAACTGACTTTCTTATTGTCTGCAATTGAAAGTTTCTTACCTGGTGGTATTTTCTTTTTTGATCAAAGAGAAAATGGATATTCAGAAGGTATACGTTTGCCAGATAAAATACAGGATACCCAGTTAAATCTGAATAGTGTTTCAGGTCAACTATACATACCTTTTTAGCAGGTATTATGTCCCACGCAATATTTAGAACACAGTTACACTGCAAAACTAACTGGGCATCCTACACCTTTATTTGCCAAATCTAGCCCATGTCTAAATTCCAAGCACTCGAAAATGGAAAACCTGGACTTTGTCCTAGAGTTTTAGTTCCAAAGCCCCCTGTACACCAGGTCGTGGGATGGGCTGCTTCCTCTCACTCCTCTCTGCCTCTGTACCTGTGGGCTCTTATCAGCCTTGCACTCTGGCCTTTGCAACCCAAATTACTGCTTGCTTTGTTGCAAGGACATGCTGGCACCTTGGGTTTTGGCCCTTGCTGCTCTCTTCAAGCAGTTGAGTGCTCGCCTGCTGCCTCCTTCTGCTTCCAGCTATCCCTGGTCACTCCCCAGAGGCTCAGTTTGGCCCCGTTCTCTGTGCTGTTCCAGCGCTCCCTTCTGAGAACATTAGCAGCAGGAACTGTCCACAGATCCCCAAGGCATGGGCCAAGATGACATTCCCCCAACACACCCCACTAAGCGCTGTCCCGCAGCCCAGGGTGCACCTTCCTGCAGTGGTGACAGCCCCAATTCCTGCACCCACAAGCCCAGGTGTAGGAAGGATCTAGCCTGCACTGAGCCACTGAGCACTGGCTATGCTTGTTTTATCTTTATAGCAGTGATTGGTTTTTAACTGCTTTTATGCTCTCTGCAATTGAAAGGTGTTTCAGGTCACTATCAATAAATGTGATGCAAGCTCAATAGAACAGAGGAGACAAGGAGGGTGCTAGGAAGAAAATCCTGATGCATGCCCTCCCAGGAGTCACTGCTCCATCTGAATCAATGCTGCCCTCATTTAGATAACATTGTATCCACCGCCTTGGAGCCTGCCTTTGCCTTGGACTGCCAGGACCACTATGTCAATGATGCTGATGGCTGCATAAATATCGCTTGGCTGTTTCATAATTGGGATTTTTCTTTTTGATTCTCCACAACTGTAAATTATGCTGTAATGATGCTAAATTTCCAGAAATGGAATGGAGAAGCCATGCCATGAGCAGCCTGTGTGCCTGGTGAGGGTCTCACATGGGGTGCTCCTGGGCCTTGACTGTCCCTCTGTGGGACTTGCTCTCCCCACTAACAGGACTGCTGTGCCCACCAGACAAAGGCCATAAATGCATCCTGGAAGTCACTGCAAATTTGCAGTGTTGTTTGTACTTATTTCTAAGGCTTTCTGGAAACCCAGCTCCCCTTGAATCCAGGTCAGCTCATGGAAAAAAAATCAAATATAGCATCCGATGTGTGCTGAGGGCTTTGCTCACAAAGCCCCTTCTTTCCACTTCTCAATTCTTTGTTCTGTGAAGTGGTTGTCACTATTGTTCCCATTTTACAGATTTGAGGAACTGATACCCCAAGACCCCGTGACTTTCTCAAGGCCATTCCAAGATCCCTAGATGCACTTACGCTTAATGAACTAATTCTTCACAGCGAGGCTTCTTGCTTAAAATCCAAGAAAATACCAGATAAAGGGCATTCTAAATATATTTCTTTTCTATAGATGTGGATCTCCTGTTACTGGAAAACAGGAATTAGCTTGTCTGCTTGAGGATGTGGTTGGTTCTTTATAAAAAGGATACAGAAGAAATTTGCACAGACTGCCAGCTTCATTATGCTGCCGACAGCTTCCAGCAAAAGGAGGACGTTTGCAGCCAGATATTTCAGTAAGAATTTTTTTATGTTCTATGTGGGAAATGATTACCTTTGCATTTGACTTCTTGCTTGAGGGATGGGGTCCCCGGAGGCTGTCTTGGTCTTGTGGCTGAGAGCACCAGGCGGCATCTGTGGTCAGGGTTCTGACCTCCTTCAGCTCCTGGAAATGGCTGATGGCACAAACCCCACCCCTGAACTATGGCAGCTGCTCTGTGTCTGCCTGAAAAACAGAGACTTCAGGGTCCTGGGCTCTAATGACTCAGGGCTCTGATTGCATTCAGAGTCTGTAAGGACTCCTATGTCCAAGGACCGCTGGGGCAGTAGGCAAGTCCTTCACAGGGGAACGCTGTGTGCAGCTGAAGGCTACTCTGCATCTCTGCTTGGAAAGGATCCAGCCAAGGGGCTAGTAGAGAAATAGTGAGGACATCTCAGTAACCCTCACTAAAGTGTCTGGGAGGTAACTATTAGACCAAATGGGATGGCTGTGACTGTCTGTTTGGGTCCCTCAGTAAAGTGCCTGGGAGATAATTGTTAGACCAAGTGGGATGACTGTTTGTTTGGGTCACAGGCAGGTGCTCGCTGGGTGGGCTGTGCAGGTGAGGATTGGGTGGATTGTGCAGGTGATGGTTGGGTGGGCTGTGTAAGTGATGATTTGGATGGGTTGTACAGGTGCTGATTGGGTGGGTTGTGCAGGTGCTGGCTGGGTAGACTATGCAGGTGATGATTGGGTGGATTGTGCAGGTGCTGACTGGGTGAGCTGTGCAGGTGAGGATTCGGCTTGTTGTGCAGGTGCTGACTGGGTGGATTGTGCAGGTGCTGGCTGGGTGGACTATGCAGGTGATGATTGGATGGGTTGTGCAGGTGCTGGGCTGCATGGGCTGTGTAGGTGATGGTTGGCAGTTGCTAGTCAGGTCATATGCATGACCTGATGGGCTCAGTTATGAGATGATGTTGCCTGAGCCCCTCCAGGACTGGTAAAGATTGGAAATTCTAGAAGCTAGTGGGTGAAATGCAGTCATGGACCTCAACCTCCACATTAAAATCACCCAAGGTGCTTTTAAAAATTCCCAGGCTCCCCCTCCAGAGATGCAGGTTTAATTGGTCTTGGATGAATCCAAGATATCAGCATATTTTTAAAGTCCCAGGTGATGTGATGTAATGTAATATGCTACCAGGTTCAGGATATAGTGGACCAAGCCCAGGGTGGGCTCAGACTCCACAGAGCCCCTTTTCTGTGGTCTGAGTAGATATTCATGGGGTGAGGAGTAAAGCTCTGTGTTCATGAAGAACGGAGTGGGCTAGAAGCCAGGACCCCTGGGCCGGCCTCGTGCTGCAGACACTTCTCACACTGTCAACTTCCCTGGATCTCACTTTCCACAGGAGAAAATAGGGGGTGGGGGAGCAGCTGAGATTAACCTTTAACTGTTCAAGCCTAATACCTAATATCTCCAGGTATTATTTTCCCTGTGCTAGGTTTATTGCATTATCTGGCTTGGAAGGAACAGTCACTTGCTTTTGTAGGAGGTTCCAGCCACCAGATTTCTATGATGAAATAAATTCTTCCCCAGATTCATAGCATAGGTGCAAATCCTTTGAGAAAGGGACAGAGGACATACTGCATGACATACCTGAACTTAATGAATTTGATTGAATTAATGTCTTTATCAAGATGAAATGTATATAACATGAATTTAACCATTTTGAAGTGTAAAAGTCAGTGGCAATTCATACATTCATGATGTTGTGCAACCACCAGCTCCATTTAATTCCAAAATTTTTCCATCACCTTGTACCTATTAAGAGGTTGCTCCCTCTTCTCCACCCCATGCAAACATCAATCTGTGTTCTGCCTCCATGGATTTTCCAACTCTGGATTTGTCATGTAAATGGACTCATGCAATATGTATCCTTTTATGAAGCCTCGTGTCTGGCTTCTTTCACTTAGCATAATTTTTCCAAGTTTCATCCACATTCATTCCTTTTGAGACTGGATTAATTTGTAAATGATTACCTAATCTCAAACACTTTGACAACTCTAAAAATGGACTGGCAATGCCATTTCGTGAAAGGCTGCAGAAAAAAAAAAAAAAAAAAAAAAGAGTCTCCAGCACAGGGGGAGGGGGCTTCCCCTCCCCATCCTTGGTCTCTCGGTTAGCACCTCTGTGTGTTTATCTTTCTTCTCTCCACCTGCCACCTCCTGGTCTCTCTCTCTCTCTCCCTCTCTCTCTCTCTTTCTCTCTCTCTCCCTCCCTCCCTCCCTCCGTCTTTCTCAGCTAATGGAGATTATTGAGAAACTTAAGTTTGCTTTTAACTGTCATTTTCAAGGATTGAGGGCAAATGAAAGGTCCTTATGCGTTCAATTGTACTGCTATGCTTCATTTCTTCACTTTGTCCACAATCTTGCCACATCGAGAACCTACCAGCACTTTCCCTCCAGCAGGAGCTGGTGGTGAGCCTCTTGGCCTCTCACTTGGTGAGTTCTGTGCTAAAAGTCTCACCCAGCAGTGGGCAGCACCCTCAGCTCCATCACTGTGGGCCTCAGCTCCTCCTAGGGAACTCTCCTGCCAGCAGGACTAGCTGCAGCCTCTTTTCTCACCAGCTCCCAAACTTCAGACCACTGGTCTGCCTGGTTGTCTCCCAAGACTGCTGGCTTCTCCCTGTCTGACCCTCCTGGCACTCCCCATGCCAAGAAGCCACTGTGCCTCGGGATCACAGTGGAGAGAAAGACGGTGGCCTCTGCCCATACCCAGCCAGAGTGTCCAAAGAGAAGGAGAAGGCATCTCTGAATCCAACCACTCCTTCAAGTCCCCAAATCCCTGACCTGCACGCTGGGACCAAGGCTGGGAGCAGCCTGGGGTAGGGAGGCTCCTTCGAAACCCTCTCCCACGCCTCCCTGACTCTGTGGTTGTCCTCACCTTGGCCTTTCCCAGAGCAGACTCTCTCCCCCACTGCTGGCAGAGATGTAAGGGGATTGTGAGAACCCAGGTAGGGGGGCATGACTGTGTCCTGAGAGAATAGGGGACTTAGAGAGAGGGGCGCTGAAGCAGTTGGAATGGGGTAATAAGGGAGGAATGGTAGGTGGATGCCATATTCAGAAACTTGGACTTGTTCTCGTGAGGCATAGGGAGCTATTGATGGTTATAAGCACAGGACTGATCTGATGAGAATGTTCATAGGAATAATTGCATGGCAGCGGGGCGAGAGGTCGGCTCTCACCTGGATCTTTGCAAAGGATCCTCCCCATTGCTCTTCTTCTTCCCACCCTTGGCCCTTCCATCTCTCCATACTGCACAGAGCAAGACTCTTTCAACCTAAATCCAATCAGCACTGTCACATCCATGGGCATCCATGTTGCTCAACACATCCATATGGATGCCCAGGCCACTTACCTCTGTCGGCTGCCTGCCCTCCTCTGGCACCCGCCTTGCCCATCGTAGGATCTGCTGCCAAGCACCCCACGCTCCCCCACCCCGCTGCGCCTGCTCTGCACCAGCAGTGCCGGCCTCCCTGCTGCTCTGATGTTTGCATGATCTGCCCACTCTCCGGACCATTTTCCCCCCAGGACAGCTGCCTGGCCTACAGACTCACCTCTTTCAGACTTTTACCCAAAGCTTTTATTAAGGCTTTCTCTGACCACCTGTGTGAGTCTGAATGGGATGAGTTACACAACCACCGGGTCACCTGGGTGAGTTGAGGGGTGGATCCTGCCCTGTTAATCATAGTGACTTAAAGACCCAGGCTGATGCTGCCAGACCAGAGGCCCGAGAAACAGTGAGCTTGTGAATGGTCTCACGTCAGCAGTTAAATCCTCAGCCGGGAAGGGACACACATCACACTCTGCTCACAACTCTGTCCCACACTAATCACTGCCCCAATCAACTGCAAGGGGCCCAGGAAGTGCAGTCCCACCACATCCTGGGGGCCTGGAGATTTTAATGACTGCAGTAATTGAAACCCTGCCCTGCCTTCCCATACTCCTTTCCCATCTTTTTTTCTTCATGGCATTGGTTATTATCATATTCTATGTATTTCAACAGCCTTATTGATATGTAAGTTACATGCAATAAAATTCACCCATTCGAGGTTCACAGCTAAATTATTTTAACTACATTCATGGAGTTGTAAAACCATCATCACAATCCAGTTTTAGGGCATTTCCGGCACCTCAAAAAATTCCCTCAAGCCCATCTGCAACTAACCCTTCCTCCCAACCCCAACCTAAGGAAACCATTGATCTGCTTTTTGTCTTCATAAATGTGCCTTTTCTGGACATTTTCTATAAACGGAAGCATAAACTGTGTAGTGTTTTGCATTGGGCTTCTTTCATGTAGCATAACGTTTTGAGGGTCATTCATGTTCTCGTGTGAATCAGTGATCAGTGTGCTCCTTTGTAGCTGAGTAATACTCCCTTGTAGGGATGCACATTGTGTTTCTCCGCTCACCCGTTGATGGACTTTTGGGTTGTTTTTGGATTGGGATTATTACGAATGATGCTGTTATGAGCATTCACATGCATATGCTTCTGTGAACACACGGCTTTCATTTCTCTTGCTGGGTCGTATGGTAGGTTTATTTTTTAATTTTTAAGAAACTGTCAAAATGTTTTCTGAAATCTCTGTACCATTTTACATTCCCACCGTCATACAATCCCACCTCATACATAAGGGTCCCAATGTTTCCACATCCTCACCAACACTTGCTATTGTTTTATTATAGCTATCCTAGCGGGTGTAAAGTGGTATTTTATTGGGGATTTGATTTGCATTTGCTTAACCATTAATGATGTTGAATGTACTTTCCTGTGCTTATTAACTATTCATATGCCTTTTTATTTCCATTTTTATATTTTTTGATACTGAGTTTTGCTCTTGTCGCCCAGACTGGAGTGCAATGGCGTGATCTCGGCTCATTGCAACCTCTGCCTCCCGGTTCAAGCGATTCTCCTGCCTCAGCCTCCTGAGTAGCTGGGATTACAGGCACCCACCACCACGCACAGCTAGTTATTGTCTTTTTAGTAGAGACAGGGTTTCACCATGTTGGCCAGGCTGGTCTCAAACTCCTGACTTTAGGTGATCCACCCCTCTCAGCCTGCGAAAGTGTTGGGATTACAAGTGTAAACCACCAAGCCCAGCCTGTTTGTATGTCTTCTTTGGTAACATGCCTATTTAAATTTTTTGCCCATTTTTAAATCAGGTTGTCTGTCTTATTAGAGTGGTAAGAATGTTTACATGTTCTAGATACAAATCTATTATCAGATATATAATTTGCCTAAATTTTCTCCTAGTCTGTGGCTTGACTTTTAATTTTCTTAATGGTGTACTTAAATTTTAAAGTGCAAAAAATCTTAATTTTGTCGAAGTTCAGTTTTTCTATCTTTTCTTTTATGAATCATGCTTTTGATATGGTATCTAAGAGTCCACCTAACCCAACATCACAAACACTTTCTCCTGTGTTTGTTTCTAGAAGTTGTATGGTTTTAGCATCTACATTTAGAGCTAAGACCAATTTTGAGTTAATTTTTGTATATAGTATGAGGTACAGTCAAAGGGTTGTTTTGTTGCTTGTTTGTTTGAAGGGTTTTTGTTGTTGTTGTTGTTGTTGCTGCTGCTGTTTCGCTTATGGATAGCCAATTGTCCCAACACCATTTGTTAAAAAATTTTCCTTTCCCCACTGAATTGCCCAAGCTCCTTTGTGAACTATCAGCTAGCCACAAATATTGGGGTTTACTTCTGGATTCTCAATTATATTCTATTGACCTGTAGACCTATCCTTGTGCCTATACCATACTATCTTGATTACTATAACTTTGGAGAAAATGTAAAAATAGGTAGTGTGTAACTTTATTCTTTTACAAAATTATTTTGCCTATTCTAGGCCCTTTGTGTTTTTATATAAAATTTCAAATTAGCATGCCAATTTCTCCACCCCATAAAATGTTTCTGAGATTTTGATAGGAATCACATTGAATTTGTAGATTCATTGGAAGATAATTGCCATCCTGACAATATTGATTCTTTAACTTCATGAGAAAGAAATGTACTTCTAATTATTTATATCTTCTTAATCTTCTCTCAGAAGTGTTTTCTGCATGTCTTCACATCATTGTTAAATTTATTTCTAAATAGTTTATTCTTTTTGATATTATTGTGAATGGTGTTGTTTTCTTAATTTCATTTATGGAGTTTTTGTTGCTGATGTGTAGGTATACAATTGATTTTTGCTATGTCCATCTTGTATTCTGCAACTTTGAAAAACTTATTAGTTCTAGCAGATTTTTAAATTAGTTCTTGTGATAATTTTCCAAACACAGTATCATATCATCTGCAAATAAAGACAGATTTTCTTCTTCCTTTCCAATCTGGCTTTAAATTTTTCTCTGCCTCTCTTCCCCTCCTTCCCTCTCCCGACCCTCTTTTTTCCCTTTGTCTCTCACTGTCTATTGTACTGGATAGAATAATACAGTATATTGTTGACTAGAAGTGGAGAAAGTGGCTACCTCTGCCTTTGTCCTTATTTTAAGGGGAAAGCATTCAGTATTTTCATGGTTACATATGATATTGGTCTCTGGGTTTGTCATAGATACCCTTTAACACATTAATTTCCCTTCTACTCCTAGTTTGTTGAGAGTTGTTGTTTTTTAAAATCATGAATGGCTATTGGATTTTGTCAGATGCTTTTCTGCATCCATTAGATGATTATATGGGTTTTGTCCTTTATTCTATTTCTATTAATAAAATATATAGATGTGTAATAGATGTACAACATTAATTGATTTTTTCAGGTGTCAAACTAATGTTACATTCCTGGGATAAATCCCATTGATTCATGGTGTATAATCCTTTTTATATCTTGCTGAATTTACTTTGCTAATATTTTGTTGAGCATTTTTATGTATGTTAATGAGGGATATTAGCCTGGTAGTTTTCTTTTTGTAGAAGGTCTTCATCTAGCTTTAATATCAAGGTAATACTGGCCTCATAGAATGAGTTGGGAAGTGTTCTCTCATTTTCTGAAAAATGTTGTGAAGTATTGGTGTTATACCTATTTATACGTCTGTGGCGGGAGGTGGGGGCACGTGCATGTATATGTATGATTATTTCTGTCTTTGTTGGCGTAAGGTTGTTCATAGTATTCTTTGATAAGTCTTTTTAATTTCAGTTGAGTTGATATTATGTCCCCTTTTTCATTACTGATTTTTTATTCTTTGTCAGTCCAGATAAAGGCTTTTCCATTTTATTAATCTTTTCAACAAGCTAGCTTTTTGTTTCATGGATTTTCTCTAATGTTTTACTGTTTTCTAGTTCATTGATTTTTTTATTTCTTTATTTTATTTCTCTTTATTCTTTCTTTTTCTGCTTGATTTAGATTTAGTTTCTAATTTTTCTAGTTTCTTAACATGAAAGCTTAGCTTATTGATTTGAGCCCTTATATTCTGATATACGCATTTAAAGCTATAGATTTCCCTATAGTGATTTTGCTGTATACCATAAATATTGGCATATTATTTTTCATTTTCATTCCATTCAAAATATGTTCCAACTTCCCTTCTGATTTCCTGTGTGATGTGTGGCTGATTTAGTAGTGTGTTGTTCAACTTCCAAATATTTGAGGGTTTCCAAAATCGCTTTCTGTTGTTATTTCTAATTTAATTCCAAGATAGATAATGTACTTTATATGATTTAGATTTTTTAATTGATCAGGACTTGTTTTATGGCCTACCATAGGTCTCTCCTAGAGAATATTCTAAATGTACTTGAAAATAATGTATATTCTGCAGTCATTGTTAGGAGTGCCCTATGTATGTTGATTGGGTCAAATTAGTTGATACTGTTGTTCAAGACTTCTATATAGTTGCTGATATTCTGTCTAGTTGTTCTATCAATTATGGAGATTGGGATATGGAAATCTCCAACTCTAATTAATTAGTCCTCTGTTTCTTCTTCAATACCGTCTGTTTTTGCTTCATGCATTTTGGGGCTCTCATGTTATCTCCATACATTTATAATTGTTACAGCTTCCTAATACCATTACTGTTTTTCATTGTTAAATATTCCTCTTTTTCAGAATGTTTCTTTTTCTTTCTTTCTTTCTTTTTTTGAGATAGAGTTTTGCTATTGTTGCCCAGGCTGGAGTGCAATGGCACGATCTCGGCTCACCGCAACCTCTGCCTCCCAGGTTCAAGCGATTCTCCTGCCTCAGCCTCCCACGTAGCTGGGATTACAGGCATGTGCCACCACGCCCAGCTAATTTTGTATTTTTAGTAGAGATGGAGTTTCTCCATGTCGTTTAGGCTGGTCTCAAACTCCCCACCTCAGGTGATTTGCCTGCCTTGGCCTCCCCAAGTGCTGGGATTACAGGCGTGAGCCACCACGCCTGGCCCAGAATGTTTCTTTTCTTAATGTCTATTTTATCATATATTAACATGACCAGTTCCAGCTGTCTTATGTTTACTGTTGTGTGGCATATATATATATATATATTTTTTTTTTTTTAATTATACTTTAAGTTCTAGGTACATGTGCATAACATGCAGGTTTGTTACATATGTATACATGTGCCATGTTGGTGTGCTGCACCCATTAACTCGTCATTTACATTAGGTATATCTCCTAATGCTCTCCCTCCCCCCTCCCACCAACCCATGACAGGCCCTGGTGTGTGATGTTCCCCTTCGTGTGTCCAAATGTTCTCATTGTTCAATTCCGACCTATGAGTGAGAACATGCGATGTTTGGTTTTTTGTGCTTGCAATAGTTTGCTGAGAATGATGGTTTCCAGTTTCATCCATGTCCCTACAAAGGACATGAACTCATCCTTTTTTATGGCTGCATAGTATTCCATGGTTTATACATGCCACATTTTCTTAATCCAGTCTATCATTGATGAGCATTTGGGTTGGTTCCAAGTCTTTGCTATTGTGAATAGTGCCGCAATAAACATGCGTGTTTATTGCGGCGTGTGCATGTGTCTTTATAACAGCATGATTTATAATCCTTTGGGTATATACCCAGTAATGGGATGGCTGGGTCAAATGATATTTCTAGTTGTAGATCCTTGAGGAATTGCCACACTGTCTTCCACAATGGTCGAACTAGTTTACAGTCCCACCAACAGTGTAAAAGTGTTCCTATTTCTCCACATCCTCTCCAGCACCTGTTGTTTCTTGACTTTTTAATGATTGCCATTCTAACTGGTGTGAGATGGTATCTCATTGTGGTTTTGATTTGCATTTCTCTGATGGCCAGTGATGATAAGCATTTTTTCATGTGTCTGTTGGCTGCATAAATGTCTTCTTTTGAGAAAAGTCTGTTCATATCCTTTGCCCACTTTTTGATGGAGTTGTTTGTTTTTTTCTTGTAAGTTTGTTTGAGTTCTTTGTAGATTCTGGATATTAGCCCTTTGTCAGATGAGTAGATTGTAAAAATTTTCTCCCATTCTGTAGGTTGCCTGTTCATTCTGACGGTAGTTTCTTTTGCTGTGCAGGAGCTCTTTAGTTTAATTAGATCCCATTTGTCAATTTTGGCTTTTGTTGCCATTGCTTTTGGTGTTTTAGACATGAAGTCCTTGCCCATGCCTATGTCCTGAATGGTATTGCCTAGGTTTTCTTCTAGGGTTTTTATGGTTTTAGGTCTAACATTTAAGTCTTTAACCCATCTTGAATTAATTTTTATATAAGGTGTAAGGAAGGGATCCAGTTTCAGCTTTCTACATATGGCTAGCCAGTTTTCCCAGCACCATTTATTAAATAGGGAATCCTTTCCCCATTGCTTGTTTTTCTCAGGTTTGTCAAAGATCAGATGGTTGTAGATGTGTGGTGTTATTTCTGAGGGCTCTGTTCTGTTCCATTGGTCTATATCTCTGTTTCGGTACCAGTACCATGCTGTTTTGGTTACTGTAGCCTTGTAGTATAGTTTGAAGTCAGGTAGCGTGATGCCTCCAGCTTTGTTCTTTTTGCTTAGGATTGTCTTGGCAATGCGGGCTCTTTTTTGTTTCCATATGAACTTTAAAGTAGTTTTTTCCAGTTCTGTGAAGAAAGTCATTGGTAGCTTGATGGGGATGGCATTGAATCTATAAATTACCTTGGGCAGTATGGCCATTTTCATGATATTGATTCTTCCTATCCATGAGTATGGAATGTTCTTCCATTTGTTTGTGTTCTCTTTTATTTCGTTGAGCAGTGATTTGTAGTACTCCTTGAAGAGGACCTTCACATCCCTTGTAAGCTGGATTCCTAGGTATTTTATTCTCTTTGAAGGAATTGTGAATGGGAGTTCACTCAAGATTTGGCTCTCTGTTTGTCTATTATTGGTGTATAGGAATGCTTGTGATTTTTGCACATTGATTTTGTATCCTGAGACTTTGCTGAGGTTGCTTAAGGAGATTTTGGGCTGAGAGAATGGGGTTTTCTAAATATACAATCATGTCATCTGCAAACAGGGACAATTTGACTTCCTCATTTCCTAATTGAATACCTTTTATTTCTTTCTCCTGCCTGATTGCCCTGACCAGAACTTCCAACACTATGTTGAATAGGAGTGGTGAGAGAGGGCATCCCTGTCTTGTGCCAGTTTTCAAAGGGAATGCTTCCAGTTTTTGCCCATTCAGTATGATATTGGCTGTGGGTTTGTCATAAATAGCTCTTATTATTTTGAGATACGTCCCATCAATACTTAATTTATTGAGAGTTTTTAGTATGAAGGGCTGTTGAATTTTGTCAAAGGCCTTTTCTGCGTCTATTGAGATATCATGTGGTTTTTGTCTTTGGTTCTGTTTATATGCTGGATTACATTTATTGATTTGCGTATGTTGAACCAGCCTTGCATCCCAGGGATGAAGCGTGTGGCATATATTTTTCCATTCTTTTTCTTTTAACCAGTTTGTGTCTTTGAATCTGTAATGTGTCTCTTTTAGACAGCATACTAATGGATCTTGCTATTTTATGGAGAGTCTTTGTATTTTGATTGAGGTATTTAGACCATTCACATTTAATATAATTATTGATATGTTTGAATTTACATTTGCCATTTTATAATTTGTTTTATGTATGTCTTCTCTTTTTTGTTCCTGTTTTTCTTTTACCCTCTTTTGTGTTAGATAGATATTTTCTAGTATACCATTTTAATTTTTCTATTTTTTACTGTATTTTTTGTGTTGTCTTAGTGTTTGCTCTAGAGATTACAATATGCATTTTACCTTAATCTACTTCAGATTAATAATTCCAGTAAAATGCACAAACTTTTGCTCCAAGACAGCTTCATTTTATCCATTTTCCTTTGTGCTACTATTGTTTTGGGCTTATCATATATAACATTTATAATCCTTATTTATACATGATAAGCCCAAAAATACACTGTTATAACTATAGCTTTATACATACTATGTCTTTAAAAGATGTTAAGAGGAAAAATAAATTTATGGGACCTTCATATTAACCCACATGTTTACCATTTCCTGTGTTTTTCATTTATTCCTACAGATTCAAGTTACTGCATAGTGAAATTCCTTTCAGCTTAAAAAATTTCCTTTAATGTCTTATAACATAGATCAGCTAGCAAGGAATTCTATCAGTCTTTGTTTTTCTGGAAATATCTTTATTTTGCCTTCATTTTGAAGGATATATTTTTTGATATAGAATTCTTAATTAACAGTTTGTATTTTTCTTTCAACACTTTGAATACGTCCTCCCACTTCTAGCCCTCACTGTTTCAGATGACAAGGCAACTGTTAATTGCATCAGTACTCCCTTTCATGTGACAAGACATTTTTCTTTTGCTACTTCAAGATTTTCTCTTTGACTTTCAAGAGTTTGTCTCTAATGTGCTGAGGTATAGATCTCTTTGTATTTATCCTACTTGGGATTCTTTGAGATAATTATACATGAAAAATAATGTTTTTCATCAAATTTAGGAAGTTGTCAGTAATTATCTTTTTCAAATAGTTTTCCTGTCTTTTTCTTTTTTGTCTCCTCCTGTCTGGGACTTGCATTACACATATGTTGGCATGCTTTATGTTGCTTTACAGGTCTCTGAAAGTCTTTTCTTTGTGCTTCAATTTTTAAAATTGTTTTGTGTTCTTCAGGTTCGCTAATTTCGATAACTCTGTCTTTACATTCACCTGTTCTTTATTCTCCTTCCTCAAATCTTCTGCTGAGCTCCTCCAGCAAATTTTTATTTTAGTTATTGAATGTTCAACTCAAGCATTTCCATTTGGTTTTAAATATTTTCTATCTCATTGAAATTCTCTATTTATTGATTTATTATTGTCCTATGTCCCTGTAATTCTTCAATCATGTTTCTTTAAGTTTTTGTAAACATATTTACAATAGCTATTTTGAAAGTCTCTGTTAAATCCAAAATCTGGCAATACTCAAAGAGACAGTTTCAATTGACTTTTTTTTTTACATATGAGTCACACTTTTCCTTTGTACTTCCCTTTTGTTTTTTGGTTGTTAGAAAGTGGGCATTTTAGATAACATATTTTAAGAACGCTGAATTCTGATTTTCTCACATGATTAATGTTGTTGTTAAATTGTTCATTTGTTTAATAACTTGCCTAGCCTAAATCTGTGAAATCTGTCTCCCTCACAGAACATAGCCACTAATATCTGTTATATTTGCCTTTACTCTTGCTCGTACCTTTAAACCTGCCTTCCTAGGGGTCACTCTTGTTTCTGTGTAATTTAGTAATCAGCCAGTGATGAGACAGATGTCATATACAAACCATGAGCCCGTAAGCCCTCTATTCTCTGCCCATAGATCTGTGCATGGGTAGGGAAATACTCTCAAAGTTCAGGTTGTTTTCAAGACTGCCTTGGCTTTTACTTTCTGTTGGACCTTTCATATAACCTCTGCACATGCCCTCAGTCTTAGAGTTGGCAAGAATGTGTGGATACTTTGAGCTATCTTTGGTCTCCACTGCACATGCATACAGTCCAAGCCAGGAATATATTTGCCCCAACCTTGACTGCAACCTCAGACTAATTGAGCATTGGTCCTCCCCATTCACTAGCTGCCAGTATTGTCAGTAGTACTGACAATCATAATTGAATAAGCAACTTTGGACTGCATGCGCAAAATTGCTGCTCCCCATGACAATGCCCCACCCTGACAGAACCTGTGTGAGGACTGAGCTTAGAGAAGTGGGATGGGAATTGCCCTAACAAACAGTACAACAGTGCAAAGCAGACTCATTCTGTTCTTACTCAAAGTTTAGAAGTTTTTCAAGCATAACTACTTTTCTGATTGTTGCATGTCTTTGGTCAATTTCCAGAGTACAGAAATGGTTGTTTATGTCAGTTTTTTCAAGATTTATGATTGTGTTTTTGGGAGAGAATTTGCTGACTTCATCATTTAGCCATAGCTGGAAGTCCTGCCTTTTACTTCTTTTTTTCAAGTTTCCCATATCCGCTTTCTTATTAGGATATAGGCACGATCTTGCAGGCATTATTGCCATTATCCCTTTGTTCATTAAGCACCACTAGAATTAGGAGGGGAAGGGGAAGTTTAAAGATAGAGCTCTTTGCACGGTGCCTAGAATTATGCCTGGCACATAATATATGTTTAATACTTGTTTGTTGAATGAATGAATAAATAGCATGGAGATGGGACTAATGGTGGTCAGGTGACCTTCCTGAGGGCTTGAGTAAGTAAGAATGTAGAGGGAAAATGAGGTTCAAGAGATACTGGGAAGAAAAATGGACAACACTTGACAGTACTGGGCAGGGGAGGCACTCAGGTGTCTGGGGTTTCTAGCTGGGTAATGAGATGATTAGTTTTAGTGGTACAAGGTAATCCTGCAGAAGCCAGGGCCCTTCATCATTAAGCTAAACATACACACACACACACAACACACACACTCCTGGCCCGCGAGTTGAAGAAGCTGCCCAAGGCTTCATGGGAAGGTGGAACAATGGCAGGCCCAGCTGCTGCTTCACACTGATGAGGTGATTCCACTGATCAGCAGCAATGTATGTCTCCCAAATCCCCCCAAGAATCTCCCCGTGGCACAGACTTATAGGAAAGATACACAAAAGGGAATCCTGGGAAGTGTAACTCAGCCTAGCCAAGTTGCATTACGAAGCAGCTACCAGACCTCATTCTGTAGTTTCTGTTAGGGGAAAACGGTGGAAGATTGGAAGCCATTCTAAGATTCTAAGGGAATGGCTCTAGGAGGGGTAGTGGATGGGCAGAGGGAGAAGAGACCAGAGCAGGGAGAGCTACTAGGCAGGAGACTACTTAAGCAGTCCAAGGGAGAGCTTATGAGAATATAGGCCAAAAAGTGGTGGTAGAAACATAAGAGTCTAAGAAGATGGAATGCACAAGTGGCTGGCAGCATGTGGAAAAGGGGGAGAAAGAAGGTAAGTTGATGCCAGCCTACTGGCTTTAGCAGCGAGGAGGATGGAGACATCCTTGTTGGGAGGGGAATGTAGGTGAAGGGGTAGGTGAAGTGAGGATACTTTGTGCCTTTTCTTACTGACCCTTCCAGCAGGTTCTGCCTTCTTTTCATCCCGTCTCACTGATCCCAGCACCATCCATTCACCCATTCATCCACAATTCATCCATCCACCCATCCACTCATCCACCATCCATCTATCCATCTATCCATCCATCTATTCACCCATTTGCCATCCATCCATTCACCCACCCATCCACCATTTATCCATCCATCTACCCATCCATCCATCCATTTACCCATCCATCCATCCATTTATACATCCACCAGTCATTCATCCACTCATTTCTTTACCATCCATCCATCTACCCACCCATCTACCATCTATCCATCTACCTACAAATCCACCCATTCACCCACCCGTCCATCCACCCACCCATCCACCCACTCATTCACCATTCATCCATTGGCTACTCATCTGCCACTCATTCATTCACCATCCATCCATCCATCTGTATACCTGTGTCCCCTGTCGGCCATCTCTGGACAACAGCTCTGTGAGTGATGAATGACACCTATTGTGTGGCCTCACACAAGCAATAATTCATGGCTCCTTTCTACCCCTTGCCCCCCACCTCGACACAATAGTTGGAGCCTGTCTCCATCTGCAGCTTCAGAAATATGGATGCCCAGGGCAGTAAACTCTCAGTGGCATTCATCTAGAGGCCTGGTTGGCTTCTGGGGAGATCAGCTTCTCAGAGACTGGCCTGGCAGGGATGGCAGCAATGTGTATGCAGGCAGCTTTTCTGATTGTCCTAACCACCCATTCTGGCCCTTCACGCTGGAGCTCTCAGAATGAAGCTAAAGTCCTGGCCATCATGAGAAAGCCTCTCAGACTCCGGCCCTCCCTGATATGTCTTCTGCCCACCCCAATGTACTATTCCAACTTGTTACCTTTTACTTTCATATCCTGATTCTATGAGTGGCTCTGCTTCCTGAACCCTTTGTCCTGTCCCTTCTGACTTCCCTCCCAGCACTCTGGGTTTTGCATGCCACTCAAGGTCTGGGCTTTGCCTGCCCACTTCGTGGCCTCTTTGTGGTGACCTCAGGTGAGAACTCCTCACTGGTCTCCCACTGTCCTACTAGCGATGACTATAGCCATGGGTCTTGAGCTGGTACTGTTTGCCAGCAGTCATGGCTCTAAAGCTTGGACACACATAACACGTGTAAAGATATATCCCCTCCTCTCTAGGAGATCGTGGTCTGCAAAAGGGCAGGGCTGTGGTGCAGGTGGTACAAGGAGCAGCAAGAAACAGGAGGACCCCGATGCAACCCATGGATTCAGGGCAGGGTCTCAGAGCAGGGAGAATCCCTGTTGGCTCTTGGAGCCTGGGCAGGAGCAGCCCAGTGGGCAGACTCAAGCAGACATTCCTGGAAGAGGACCAGGGCCATACCACAAGCTCTAAGGCCTCCATCCTGCTCACCCCAGTCTCCCTGCACAAGCACCAAGCATGGGACACAGGCACACAGACAGCATGGATGCAGGGCTGGGCTGGAAAGACCCAGACACCCTGAATGTCTCCTTCATGCAGTGTCCCCACAGCTAACATGCCTTTATCGACAGCCACCAGAGAAATGCTGAAGCTGTGCAGGGCAGAGGAAGAAGGAGCAGCCATGTCATTAACCCCTTAACCCCCAAGCCTCTCCAGGATGTTCACCTGCACCTGGCAGCACAGGACCCCTGGGAAATGAGTCTGAAGATGGAGATTTTCCTTCTTCTTTCTTTAATGAAAAGAGAGAGAGAGTAAGGACCTGATGCTACCACCAAACTAAAAATAATAATAAATAACAACATTGAGATCACCTTGCACGGTTTACAACTCTCTTCAATATCCACAGGGGTGATGTCATTTAATTCCTGTAGCCAGCTTGCAAGATATTAATGTTCCCATTTTACAGAGGAGAAAACTGAAGCTCAAAAGTGCAGTCCTTCCATCCTGCTTCCCCAGCCAGGAAGTAGTCTAAGTTTATGTTGTCCAATAGCAGAGCCTAAGACAAGGGCTTGGGTGCAGGTGGTTTATTTGGGAGGTGATGCCAGGAAGCAGGACTGATGGGGCAAAGAGTGACACCAGGAAGGAGGGAAGGCCAGTGTGAGGGGCATAATGAAGGTTGCTGCTGTCCCAAGACTCACTTCCACAGGGACTCTGGGAAGAGTGCAGACTCACCTGCCATAAGCCTGGAAGGGGAGAGGGTGGGGGTTACCCGGCCCCCTTTCTCCCTTGGCTGAGGGCAACCCCAGGGGTGTGGACACCCAGCCCTTCTGGACTGCATTTGTTTGCCCAGGGCTTAGGGTCCCTGTGGCTTCAGAGAAAGCCGAGGGCTGAGAGCCTGGAGCGGGAAGCCATCAGTGGGCTCACCTAAGAGGGGACGTTTCACCACAGCTGTGGCTGAACTTGGAGCTGGCCAAGGGGCTGGGACAAGTTACGGAGCACCCAAAGCTGTGCTTCAAGCTATAACCTAAACCCCAGGCATTTTTCTCTTACCAACCTTGGAGGAGTATGAAACTAGTCATGCCTGAGGAGACAGGGAGTCGGGGTCCAGGGAAACACCAGGCCCAGTGCAGAAGTGGGGGTGGGGGCAACAAGAGACAGAGGCCCAGAAACAAGGTGAAGTGCTTCATTCACGGTGGACCCAGAAGGAGCCTAGCCTCCAAGAGCCTCCCATGGGTGCTGGAATTCCCTTGTTCACACTGAGGAAGAGGGAGGGCAGGTACATGAGTCTGCTCGGGCTGCCATGACAAAGCACCTCGGGCCCCAGGGCTTTCACAACATACATGTATTTTTTCCCATTCTGGAGGCTGGAAGTCTAAGATCAATGTGTTAGCAAGCTTCTTTCTCCTCTCTCCTTGGCTTGTAAATATCACCTTCTTCCTGTGTCTTCACACAGTTGGTATCTGTGTCCTTATCTCCTCTGCTTATAAGAACTCTAGTCATATTGGACTAGGGCCCACCCTAATGACCTCATTTTAACTTAATCACTCATTTTAACTTTGATATTTAAAGGCCCTATCTCCAAATACAGCCACTTTCTGTATGGGGCGGTGGGGGTTAGGCTTCATCATGAACTGGAGTCGGGGGACACAATTCAGCCCTCTTGCTTTCCTGGGCTCAGAGCTGTCAGCCCTGAGAAGCAGAGGAGAGTCTATTCCAAAGAACAGGCTGGGCAGAGCCTCAGAGAGTGTCTAGACAGATGCCCTGCCAGCCACACTACCCTCTAGGGAGCCAAGCGGAAGCCCAGGCTCACCCACCCCCAGCCACAGAACCAAATAAGGGCTGAGTCAGCGGCTCTTCTTAGAGACCCAGTTTCCTACAATGGTTTCTGTTTCTGCACATCTGGGAGAAATGATTTGACTCTGGGAATGGTTGTGAAATGGGCAAACCACAGTGCAGGCTCACCGCCCTCTGCACCCAGCAGCTTATCCTCTCCTATGGCCCAGCTCTGTGGGGGCAGAGCACTTTTCCCTGTTGGCTAGATGAGGAAGCAGAAGATCTGAAGTTTACTGACTTGCCAAAAGCTCACAGCTAGTTAGTGGCAGACAGGACTCAACCCAGATCTGAGCTGACCCATCTTTAGTGCTCACTCACAGCAGTACCTCTGCTTTTAGGGACATTGATGGCACCTTTTGGCTGCTCCCATCAAATCCGCCACCCAAATCTGAAAGTACCCATTCAGCTACCCATGATACTACTGAGCTACTAGTGCAAACTGGCTTCTCTCAACAGGTGAGCTGGCTAGCAGATAACACTTCCTGCCAGTTATCATAGAAACAAGCGTGGGAGGAAGCAGCATCCTGGTGGCCAGGAAGAAGGTGAGGGAGAACATAGGGCATAGATGCCCATGGTGTCAACTCTCAGACACCTGCCCCAGAGATTTCCAGGAGTCAGGGCATCCCGCAGCCAGCTTGGCCCAGCATTCAGTTAGGAAAGGCTCTCCCTCCTCCCATGCCCAGCCCTCTGCTCCCTCCTCCTCTTAGCCCCGTGGAATGATCCTGTCTCTATTAACCTGCCCATCTCCTTCTGCAGATGGATGTCAACAGGGATTTTCTTGTGGAAAGTCCACAGGGAAAGCCAGCCCTCCCTCCCTGCTGCTGGCATCATTTTCCCACAAAATGTAAAAACAGTCTAGAGAAAGCCAGGCCTGGGTGTGGATCCAGGTTCTACCACCTGCTTACTCTATGCCCTTACTCAAGTGATATAATCTCTCTGCTTCATTTCCTCATTGTAAAAGTGAGACCACAATAGGCCATATCTCACAAGACTGTAATAAGGATTACATGTCTAATTAAAAGAAAAGAGTTCAAGGAAAGGCACAGGGTAAACCCTGAATAAGTGGGAACTCCCTTCCAGACAAACAATCAGATGCCACTGTTAATCTCTGGCTGAGAATTGTTTCCTTTGGGAATTTTTTGAAAACCAAGTGATATGATGGAGACTCTGGACACAGGAACCCTACATTTGGAGCTTTCTCCCAGTTTTACTTCTCCAGCATGCAGTCACTGCAAACCTCAGACCTGGGAGTCTCAGAGGAAGGTAGATTGTCTGCAGAAATGAGAGCTGACTGGGGCCATTAAAGGTGGACAGGCCTGGGAAATGATCTCAAAAGTTTCCTAAGGGTTGATAATTTATTCAGTCACCCAGCAAACATGAGTTGTGCCAGGCACTGCTCTAGGCACTGGAATACAGCAGGCAACATAATTGGCAAAAACTCTTACCTTCTGGAGCTCATGCTCTTCTCATATCATCCAATGGAAAGGCCTGAGGGAACTGTCCACTGATGTCCTCCGTGTGGCAGGTGATGTCCTCTGGCAGGTGACTCAGGATCTTCCAGGGGTAGATGAAGGAAAAGAATAGTCAGCGTTGTGCAGTAGTGATGAAAATGGAAAGACTCTGGCTTCTGGTTTCATCTTTGACATGTGAAAAGCTTAGACATTTTCACTCTCATCCTTACAACAAGGTAAAATCTGTGCAAACTTAAAATCAATGATTTCGCTCTGGCATCTGCAGACACAGCAAATATTAAAGACGGCACAGCTCCTAGCCTGGGTGGTTTTGGGAACACCCCCCAATTTGCAGTTGGTGTTGGAAGTGAGGCTGGTCTTGTGAAGACCTGTGTGCACTCTAAACTTGGAGTTGGCCAACTCCAGGCAGTGACAGAAAACAAACCACAGACCTAAGCAGGATAAAAACAAAAAATATACACATCTTAGGTGTCTCACATTCAAAATGCAGAAAACAAAAGACAGAGAAAATCTTGAAAGAAGCCAGGGGTATGGGGATCACCTTTCCTTTAGAAGAACAAGGATAGGAATTATATCAGACTTCACAACAGAAGTCATGCAAGCAAGTGGAGAGTGAAGGGAAATATTTCAACTGTTGAAAAAAAAATATGTTGAATAGTTTGTACATTAAAACTGCTGCAATAAAACTCCCTACCAACATAGGATTGCATAACTACTGGAATTTTTCTTCAAAAGTGAAGGCTAATAGAAAGGAATGAAATAATGTCTTTTGCAGCAACTTGGATGGAGCTGGAGGCCATTATTCTAAGTGAAGTAACTCAGGAATGGAAAAGCAAATATCATATGTTCTCACTTGTAAGTGGGAGCTAAGTTATGAGGATGCAAAGGCGTAAGAATTATATAATGGACTTTGAGGACTCGTGGGGAAGGTTGGGAGGAGGTTGAGGGACCAAAGACTACATATTGGGTACAGTGTACACTGCTCGAGTGACAGGTGCACTGAAATCTCAGAATTCCCCACTATAGAATTCATCCATGTAACCAAAACCACCTGTACCCCAAAAGTATTGAAATAGAAAAATAATTTTCATTGTAAAAAAAAGTGAGACTAAATAAAGACTTTCCCAGACAAACAAAAACCAAGAGTATTCATTGCTTGTCCTACAAGAAATGTTAAAAGAGAGAAAGAAAATGATGGGTGAGAAACTCAGATCTACATAAAGAAAGAGCATCAGAGAAGGAATAAATGAAAGTAAAACAAAGTCTTCATTTTTCTCATGCTTAATGGATCTAACAGGTAACTGTTTGTCCAAGTAACAATAGCAACAATATGTAGGGTGATTATAACACGTAGATAACCAAAGTGAATGTCAGTAATATTATAAGGAACAGGATGGAGGAACTGGGAATACTGATATAAGGAACCTGTACTATTTTTTAAGTAGTAGTGTTATTTGAGAGTGGACTCAGATTAGCTGTAAATATATATTGCAAAATCTACTGCAACAAGAAAATATTTTTAAGAAGTATAATTGATATCCCAAGGAGAAATATATCATTTTAATTGGCTTATAACTATTAAAGAAGTTAAATAAATGACAATTTTCCAACAAAGTAAGCACTAGTTCTCAAATGGTTTCACTGGTGTATTCTACCAAACACTTAAGGAAGAAATTAGATAAATTCTCTACAGTATCTTCCAGAATATAAAAATGGAGGTAACAGTTTCTAACTCATTCTGTGAGGCTAACAGCACCCTAATACCCAAACCAGATAAAGACAAGAAAGAAAAGCTACACATCAGTATCTTTTATGAATATAGATGTAAACAAGTCCTTAATGAAATATTAGCAAATTGAATCCAATAATGTATAAAAAGAATTATATACCACAACCAAGTGGAGTTTATTCCAGATATGGAAGGCTGATTGAACACTCAAAAAACTATTATGTGGTAGTTAATATGTGATAAACAATGTGGTAACCCACCACATCAACAGGCTAAAGAAGAAAAATCATATGATCATATGAATTAATGCAGAAAAAACATTTGACAAAATCCAACACTCATTCATGATAAAAACTTTTAGCAAACTAGAATTAGAGGTAACTTCCTCAACTTGATAAAGGACATCCACAAAAACCCTACAGCAAAATGTATACTTAATTGTGAGAAACTAGATGTTCTCCCACTATGTTGGGAACAAGGCAATTCACCACACTTATTCAACATTGTACTGGAAGTCCTAGCAAATGCAGTAAGACAAGAGAAGGAAGCCATATATATACAGAATGGAGGAAGAAATAAAATTGCCTTTTTTCACAGAAGACAGGATTGTCTATGCAGAAAATTCCATAAAATTGATGGAAAAAACTCTTGCAACTTATAAGTGATTATAGCAAGTCACAGGATATAAGGTTAATATCCAAAAGTCAATGCCTTTTTTATATCAACAATGAACAGCTGGAATTTGAAAATAAAAGCACGATACCATTTACATTAGCATAAAAATGAAATACCTATAAATCTAACAGAATATGTACATAATCTTTATGCAGAAAAGTATAAAACTCTTGATTAATGAAATCTAAGAAAATCGAAATAAATGGAGAGATGTTCCGCTGTCATGGATTAGAAGACTCAATATTGTTAAGATGTCATTTCTGGGCTGGGCGTGGTGGCTCATTCCTGTAATCCCAGCGCTTTGGGAGGCTGAGGTGGGTGGATCACCAAGTCAAGAGATCGAGAACATCCCGGCCAACATGGTGAAACCCCATCTCTATTAAAAATACAAAAATTAGCCGAGCGAGGTGGCGGGGGCCTGTAGTCCCAGCTAGTCAGGAGGCTGAGGCAGGAGAATCACTTGAACCAGGGAGGTGGAGGTTGCAGTGAGCTGAGATAGCGCCACTGCACTCCAGCCTGGTGACAGAGCAAGACTCCGTCTGAAAAAAGAAAAAAAAGTCACTTCTTTCTAACTTGGTATATAGACTCAGTACAATCCCAATCAAACTCCTAGCAAGCTATTTTTTGCTTTTCCATACACCAGCAATGAACAATTGAAAGTTGAAATTAATTTTTTTCAAATCTGTCATTTAAAATAGCACCAAAAGAATGAAATATTTAGTTATAAAATTAACAAAACAGGCATAGGATCTATTGCAGAAAACCACAAAACATTGATGGAAAAAAATCAGAGATTGAAATAAATGGAGAGCTGTTCTGTGTTTGCGGATTGGAAGACTCCATATTATTTAAATGTCAATTGTTCCCAAATTGATCTATATAGATTCAGTGAATTCTCAATCAAAATCCTAGCAAGCTATTTTATAGGTATTGGCACACTGATTCTAAAATTTATATGGAAAGGCAAAACATCTAGAATAACCAACACAGAAATGAAGGAAGCATGCAACCTAAATTCAAGACTTACTCTAAAATAAACATGTAAACAAAACATGGTGATATGAGCAAAATGATAGACACGTGGATGAATGGAATCAAATAGAGAAATAGAAATAGACCCACACAAATGTAGCTAACTGACCTTTGATGAGAGCCAAGGTAATTCAATGGAGAAAGGATAGGCCTTACACTTTTTACAAAAATCAACTCAAAATGGATGGTAGACCTAAATACAAAAATACAAAATATGAAGTTTCTAGAAGAAAACAGGAAAAAATCTAGAAAACCTTGGGATTGACACCCATGGAGAGGGCAGGAAGCAGGACTGAGCAAAAGGCAAAATCAGACTGCAATGCAGGCACAACAGCAGCCTCAGTAGACTCCATACTTAGCTCTGAGGGTTAGCTGGGCTTTCCAGGCTGTCCTAAGTTGGGGCAAGAAGACCAGGCCTCTATGCCCCCATAATGACCAGCCATTGGTGGTGGCTGCCCCTAGGAAGGTAGTGTGTCTCTGAGAAATTCCCAGTGGAGGCAAAGGCTGAAAGGGCTGGGTGTTAGCAGCTGGGAGCTAGTCCTGGGCCATCTGGGAAGCACAACAGAGCCCATTCCAGGTGTCTCTAGATTTTTACTGTTACACATAATGCTGTGAATGCACCTTTCCCTGCAAGATAAACTCCAAGGAGCAGACACATTGGTCAGGGTTGTGCACTGTGTTCTTCCCTTAGTCACAGCAGTGGCCACCACTGCACCTTGAGGGTGGTGGCCTCTCTCAGCTCAGACTCCCCAGGTTGATGGATGGGAAGGCAAGCTTTGCTCCTCTTACTGCAAGATATGTCACTGTGGCCCCATGTCCTATGTGCACCAAAGATGATGACTCCAAGGGGCCACCTGGGGAATGGGAAGGTGTTTAGGTCCATTTTGTGATGAAATCCTATTGGTTTAATATACTTTGACTATATTGTCAAGGCCATGACTCGATAACTTGCAAAAAGTTCATATGCTTTAAATTTGCTAACAGGAGTCACCAGGCGGAATCAAATGCCTTGAAAGCAGATTTCTGGACCTATGGAGTGGTTTGGAGCCTCAAGGTGGTAGGGTAGAGCCAACAGAACAGGCAGTCAACTCCATCATACAAGCAGCATATGGTGGACATCTGTGCCCACATCCTTGCTATGGAAACAGACAGGAGCCACCTGGTGTTACTCAACCCAGCAGACTTAGCCATCTGCTAGCCAGTGACCTTGCACACACTGGCTCTGAGCCTCACTTTTCTCTTAAAATAAGAATTATCAAGACATCTTTGGGTGGCCATATGTGTGAATCAAGATACTGGGGCCTGGTGTGTGGTAGGTGCCTGGTAGATGCTCAGCAAATGTTAACTGCTAAAACAAGGACTGTAACATCTGCACTAATGGTAGACCTGCCACCAGGCACAGCATGCTCCTGGCCACATCAGGGCTGGTTCTGAGACTGCGTGAGTGCAGAACTGGAAGGCAGGGCCATCCTGAACAGAGGGTGGCCAGTCAGACACCCTGAGGACTCCCAAGATAGACTCACTCACCCACTGCAAGGAAGAGAAGGAGGCCAGATGTCTGTCCCTGTGATGCCAGCTGTGGCCATTGCCCTCCTTTCTTTGAGTCTCAGAGCACTGTGTTAATACGTTTTACTTGGGACTGATACTTCAAGCAACTCTTGTGCAGGGTAAGGAACC